>NC_000005.10:24247214-24550244 GCF_000001405.40 Homo sapiens
TAACAACAGTCATTGGAACTTGGCACATTTGACATATCTGATTGATACTTTAACTAGATAAGAAGTTTAATTATAAGAAAGGCAACTATCTACAGTCTCACACTAAACATTTGGATCAGTCAATGTGTCTGAAATATCTCTTTTTATTTGAACATCAAGTTATCAAACATTTTTAAATGTAATTTCAGAAAACGAATCAAATTTTACACTGACTTTATTAATGCAGCTGTGTTTTCTTAATATGATGACTAAAACATTCTTTGGATTTTTGGGGAGGAGGGGAATCTGTTTCAGTTGATTTTGGTTTTCTCAGAGAATTCCTACTAGTTGTAAGTGGAACAATTTGAGCATTAAAATAAAATAATGCATTACAAATAAAAAATCTTTAATTAAAAAACAGATGCAAAAAGTCTTTAAAGATTGCTGGAAGACCATTTTCTGAAATGGGTAAGTATAAGTAAAGAGAAGGAGTTTATTGTGTACATGCCTCTCTTCAACTGACTGTACTTAATGCTATGACAACATTGATGAAGCATAGTTGTTTTATATTTAAAAGAAGAATGGTTAATGATAGATTCAAGAAAATTGATTAGAAAGTCATTATTTTATAATCCTTCATTAAAACACATGGAAATAGGCAGTGGTCATCAGCAGTTATCAAATAATCTGGTGAAATGATGAACTGAACATTTTAAAAATGGATCAATCCACCCCCATGATCCAATCATCTCCCACCAGGTACCTCCCTCAACGCTGGGAACTAAAATTCAACATGAGACTTAGGTGGGTGCACAGAGCCAAACCATATCATTCCACCTCTGGGCCCTCCCAAATCTCATGTCCTTCTCACATTTGAAAACATAATCATGCCTTCCCAACAGTCCCCCAAGTCATTACAGCATTAACCCAAAAATCCAAGTTCAAAGTCTCATCTGAGACAAGGCAAGTCCCTTCCACCTATGAGCCTGTAAAATCAAAAGCAAGTTAGTGACTTTCTAGATACAATGGAGGTACAGGCATTGGGTAAATGCACTTGTTCCAAGTGGGAGAAATTGGCCAAATCAAAGGGGCAACAGGCCCCATGCAAGTTCAAAATCCGATAGGGCCGTCATTAAACCTTAAAGTTGCAAAATGATCTCCTTTGACTCTATGTCTCACATCCAGGTCAAGCTGATGCAAGAAGTGGGCTCCCATGGCCTTGGGCAGCTCTGCCCCTGTGGTTCTACAGGGTATATCCCCTGTGTCTGTGTTCAAGGCCTGGTGTTGAGTGCCTGCAGCTTTTCCAGGTACATGGTGCAGTCTGTCGGTGGAACTACCATTCTGGAGAAAGATGGCCCTCTTCTCACAGCTCCACTAGGCAGTGCCCCAGTGGGAACTCTGTATGGGGGTTTCAATCCCACAGTTCCCTTCTGTGCTGCCCTAGTAAAGTTTCTCCATGAGCATTCTGCCCCTGCAGCAGACTGCCTCAACATCTAGGCATTTGCATACATCCTCTGAAATCTAGGTGGAGGCTTCCAAGTGCCTACTTTTGCCTTCTGTGCAAGAGCAGGCTCAACACCACATACAAGTTACCAAGGCTTAGGGCTTGCACCTGCTGAAACAACAGCCTGAGCTGTGCTTTGGCCCCGGTAGCCACAGTTGGAGCTGGAGTGGCTGTGACACAGGGTGCCATGTCACGAGGTTGCACAGAGCAACAGGACCTTGGGTTAACCCCACAAAACCAGTTTTTTCCTCCTAGGCCTCCAGGACTGTGATGAGAGGGGCTGCCTTGAAGGTCTCTGGCATTCCCTAAAGACATTTTCCCCATTGTCTTGGCTTTTAACATTTGGCTTCTCTTTACTAAGCAAATTTCTGCAGCTAGCTTGAATTTCTACCCAGAAAATGGGCTTTTCTTTTCTCCCACGTGGTCAGGCTACAACTTTCCCAAACTTTTATGCTCTGATTCCCTTTTAAACATAAGTTGCAATTTCAGACCATCTCTTTGTGAACACATATGCTGTTAGGAGCAGTCAGGCTATCTCTTGAATGCTTTGCTGCTTAGAAATTTCTTCTGCCAGATACCCTAAGTCATCTATCTCAGATTCAAAGTTCCACATATGCCTAAGGCAGGGTTGCAATGCTGTCAGTCTCCTTGTGAAAGCATAGCAAGAGTGACCTTTGTTCCGGTTCCCAATAAGTTCCTTGTCTCCATCTGAGCTCACCTCAGCCTGGACTTCACTGCCCATGTCACTGTCAGCATTTTGGTCACAACAATTCAACAGGTCTCCAGGGAGTTCCAAACTTTTCCTCATCTTCCTGTCTTCTTCTGAGCCCTCCACACTGTTCCACCCTCTGACTATTACCTAGATCCAAAGTTAGTTCCACATTTTCAGGTATCTTTAAAGCAATACCCAGCTCTCGATACCAATTTTCTTACACTACTATGAAGAACTACCAGAGACTGGATAATTTATGAAGAAAAGAGGTTTAATTGACTCACAGTTGCACAGTCTGGTACACGAAGCATAGCCAGAAGCCTCAGGAAACTTACAATCATGGCAGAAGGCAAAGGGAAAGCAAACACCTTCTTCACATGTTGGCAGGAGACAGAAAGAGCAAGAGGGAAGTGCCACACACTTTTAAACCATCAGATCTTGCGAGAACTCACTCACTATCATGAGAACAGCATGGGGCAAATCTACCCCCATGATCCAATCACTTTCCACCAGGTCAGTGCCCCAACTTTGGGAATTACGATTCAACATGAGATTGGGGTAGAGGCACAGAGCCAAACCATATCATAGCATTAAACACAAATGGTCATGCAGTACCCATATTTGAATTTTGATCTCTGTAAGTCCATTACATGTAATTAATGGAATTCTGGCAAATTTTAATTTACTACTTGGATATTCTAAATTAATCAATTCAGAATATAATCTAAAGAGGGATACATAGTAACAAAAACTTCATCAGATATTTTAAATGTAAAACTAAATTAAATGTAAGGGTTTTTTTTTTTTGTAATTTGGAAATGACCTACACTTTTAACATTACACATAAGAATTAAATTTGTCGGCTGGACACAGTGGCTCATGCCTGTAATCTGACCACTTTGGGAGGCCAAAACAGGCAGATAACTTGAGGTCAGGAGTTTGAGACCAGCCTGACCAACATGGTGAAATCCCATCTGTACTAAAAATAAAAAAATTAGCCACGTGTGGTGGTGTATGCCTGTAATCCCAGCTACTCTGGAGGCTGAGGCAGGAGAATCGCTTGAACCTGGGAGGTGGAGGCTGAAGTGAGCCGAGATTGTGCCACTGCACTCCAGCCTGGGTGTGAGCGAGACTTTGTCTCAAAAAAAAAAAAAAGAAAAAAAAAGAAAGCATTAAAATGGTTAATGTAACAGCTACAATTGGGTTGTATAACATGGGAGTGGAGAGATATTATACTTCTTTAATTTAGGTTCTTAGCGTAAAATCTATATTTTAATACTATTTGTACAGCTAAATAATTCAATGTCAAAGTAAAAGACTATTTTTGAAGTTGTCTATGAGCTTATTGTTTCCTGTAAAGGTTCCCGTACCATGAGAGGGAGATATCCAGGTTTTGATGCAGTACTTTTGTGCTCCTTTTTGTTTTTCCACCTCCTTATCCTGGCAGGATTCTTATATAACATTTGCTATCATCTATACAGAAAAGCTACGTGATGGTCCACACATCTCCAGGATGAGGTTCCTCACACGGCAAGCTTAGTAGTCATATCAGGGCAATTATCTTAACAATTGCTGAATGACACTAATGAACCAGGCTCATCAGGTGCAGAGCAAGATTTGAAACTTATAATATTGAAAACAAACAGGAAGTAAAATCTTTAGAAGTAGGCAGTCTATGTGCATTTTCTAAACTTTAGTAGTATTCTTCTTTTTCTTTTCTTTTCTTTTTTTTTTTCTTGAGACTGAGTCTCGCTCTGTCGCCCAGGCTGGAGTGCAATGGCATGATCTCAGATCACTGCAAGCTCCACCTCCCGGGTTCAGGCCATTCTCCTGCCTCAGCCTCCTGAGTATCTGGGAGTACAGGCGCCCGCCATCACGCCAGGCTAATTTTTTTTATTTTTAGTAGAGACGGGGTTTCACCGTGTTAGCCAGGATGGTCTCGATCTCCTGACCTCAAGATCCCCCCGCCTCGGCCTCCCAAAGTGCTGGGATTGCAGGCGTGAGCCACCGCGCCCGGCCTGTATTTTTCTCAAGGCATCAATGATGGTATATTACCTCTTTTTTGTAAATACCTGCCTGTGCCTAATGAACAATGAACAGCTAGAATTAGCACTTCTTTTTATTCGTTTTTTTTTTTCTCTGCTTGCAGTGCAGTGTCTGGTCTATAATTATGCTCAATAAACCCTTTGTTAATTAAACTGAAATGTTGATAAACGAATAAACTCACAGGTGTTTCTTCTGTCTAAATAGAAATATTAATTTTTGAATGATTCTTAAAACAATTTGCCCTATTATTTTACTTGCAAGAGCTCAAACATTTATGGAAATGTTCTTTACTTCATAACAAATAATGCAAAAAATTATTTCATAGTTAATTATATAATAAGTAATTTAACATAAGAATTAACTTATTTGAGTTATAGAAAAAAACAGATTACTTGTTTGTCTAAATATTCTCACAATTTCTGTGGAGTTGGAACAAAATTAGAAATACACACAGACTTTATATTTATCTTGAAAATTTATATTTAATTATTATGTAAATGAAATAAAAAAGCTGGAACACATTGGGAGTATATGCAACACACTGTCTTACTCTGTTTTGTGTTACTGTAACCAAATATCAAAGACTGGTTAATTTATAAAGAACAGAAATGTATTGCCTCAGAATTCTGGAGGCAGAGAAGTCCAAGACTAAGGTACCAGCATTTGGTCTGCTAAAGGCATTCTGGCCTTGTCTCCACAGGGCAGAAGGTAAAAGAGCAAGCTAGCCAAATGCTGGATAAAGCCTCTTTTATAAAGACCTTAATCCCATTCATGATCAAGAAGTTCTCACAGCCTTCTCACCTCTTAATGAACCCACTTCTTAATACCTTCACATTGGGAACACCTGAATTTTGGAGAGTCCATGTTCAAACCATAGCCAATACCGTGTAGACACAATAGTTTACTCCACAAAGTATATAATGAGCAATATAATTATTTGAAAAGATGTTTTTGTAGATGTTAAAAATCATCATGACTTTTTGGCATTAAAACAAATTACTTATTTTTAGGTCAGGCTATCTGGTGTTATTAGGACAGTCATTTATTTTAAAGACATATATTTAACCTCTTGATGGTATTTACATAATAATGTCTGTTTTATGCCCAAAGTGCTGCAAATTTTGAAAAACTCATGATTTAAGCACCCTGCTGCCCTAAAATAGTTATGTTTTCAATCAAAAGTGTTTTAGAGTCTGTTCAGTTTACTTTAGTTTTAGTTCGCATAACTATTCCATTAGTTCACATAATAACTACTCCATTAACCCATATTTGCAATGCTGTCAAGTATAACATACGCAACTCTGCAAGTAAAAAGAACATACATATGTAAAATAAATAATGTAACTGACTAGATGTCAAATTTGTTTTGTCTCTCTGTAGGTGTGTAAGATCTCTTCATATAGATTTTTTGCTAAAAGTTGTGTTTAGCAAATCCTCCTTATAAATATAAATTTTAAAAATGTCTGATTTACATATATGTAATAAAACTGAATCTGTTGACTGAATGTAAGGTTTAAGACATTACAAACATTTTAATTATTTTATTTATACATTTAGGAAATAATCCAACCTTTTAAATAAACTTTTAAGAGTAGATAGAGCCAAATACCCAGAACTCAAAACTCTAAGATAGCATAATAAATAAATAATAAATAATGATGAATCAAAGCACTGAAAAAAATATGAAACGAGAAATTTGTGCCTTGGGGATCTAACCTATGGAGAAACAAAGATAAGAATTACAGTGAACTTTTTGTTAGAAACCACACAACTAAGAAGAGCGTGAAGCAAAATATTTAATGTGTTAAAAACAAATAAATATAATCTGGAATACTATATACAGTGAAGTTATCATTCAAGAGTAAAGATTATTTTCAGGCTTTTTGACTTTGGAAATATTTTAAAACATGTATTATAGTCACCTGACAATTGATAGAAATATCTAGGCAGAGATATTTATTTTTTCATTTATCTATAGTATAAATTAGCTTAGAACCTGAGTAAGGCCATTTAGGAAATAACATAGAATTTATTTCCTAGAACAACTAGAAGTTGTTCTAGGAAAAAGCCTGGAAGAATTTCAGTCTTGAATCATTGTGTGGGAATATAGATAATGAGATGCAAAGGAATCAATAAATTAGTTACCACAGCTGTAAGAAACACTAAGTAACATTGTTAAAGACAAGCAAGGTCAGGCCAGACACAGTGGTTCATGCCTGTAATCCAAGACCTTTGGGGGGCTAAGTAAGGAGAATGGCTTGAGTCCAGGAGTTCAAGATCAGCCTGGGTAACATGGTGTAATCTCCGTTTCTACAAAAATTAAAAAACAAACAAACAGGTTTGATGCTGTGTGCCTGTAGTCCCAGCTACTTGGGAGGCTTAGGTGCGAGGCTCACTTGAGCTCAGGAGGTCAAGGCTGCAGTGAGCCAAGACTGCACTACTGCATTCCAGCCTGGGCAACAAAGCCACACTGTGTCAAAAAAAAAAAAAAAAAAATTCAAAATTGTTTTACGTTCATTATAAAAGTGTCATCTACACTAAAGTTGGTTTAGAAGCACTGCTACTTCTGTTACTATGGCTAAATATGTAGACTGGGTTATCTACCCCTTGCAGAAAAATTAGACCATGGAAGGCAGTGTTTGAGATGAATTACTTTCAAAAAAAGATAATAAAAGAGGTAATAAAAGTCTCCACGGTCTACATCTCCATCCAAAATTAATGTGAATTGGACCTGGAACACTTGAAGATGACCTACATGTCAATAAGCTCTGCCCAGTTACTGCATGCCTATTGTCACTCCGCAACTGGGAACCAAGCCTTTCTTCAGCTATGAATGAAGCCGACTTTTATCTCGAGATGAGATATTGAGAGGGTTATTCTCATTTGGCCAGTGGTTCCACTGACTACATTTAGAGACAAAAGCAACTTTTTTATTAAAGAAATGTTTCACCAGTATAGTCCTGTAGGACTTATAAATATCAAGTCAAAATGTGGATTTACCATGATCACATGGTATAAAAGAATACAAGCAACTATAAGTGGAAATTCAGCTAGAAGCATAAATAATATATATAAATCATGAAGGGCTGAATATATTAGAATAATAAAAACTATAGAAATATATGCATGAAAATTTTATAAACAAAAGAGGCAATACAAAAATCATTCTGCAAAAGACTATTAGGAATCAAAGGACAGCCCTCTTAAAATGGATTTTCCATAAATAAAGTCTGTAACTTAATGTACTGAAATTAACTGGAAAGAAAATGTATCTAAAAGAATTAAACACCAAAAGACATAGAGACACAAAATATGAACAGATAAGCTATATGGAGGATGAAATAAGAAGATTTAATATATATGTATATATCACTTAGCATCTCAAGTGTAAAGAGCAGAAAAAATGGAAGTGAGATAATATTTGAAGAGATAAAGTTTGTATCTCTTTAGATAGATCTATGTCCAAAGCAAAATAAATAACATGAAACTCAATACTAAAACTGTATACTGCCAAAGACAAAAACAAATTTTAAAAATACTAGAGAAAAGAGAGACCACGTGAAAGGAGTGAAAATTAAAATTGTAGAAAGACTGGATAACCAAAACAGTGAAACTGTGGTTATCGTCAAACTGCTGAGAGAATATAAGCATTAATCATGCATAATCTAAGATGTTGTTGGATGTTCTCTACTTGACTCTGGTATTAGTCCACATTTCTTCATATGTGCTTGGATCCTGGAAGTTTACAGGTAGCATCAAACAGGTGTCTTGCACTCTGAACTGTCCTTTGTTTCAGCCAATGAGTAATCATCAGCTGGAGGGAAGAGGATGAAAGACAAGAGTCAAGATAGTTATTCCTTAGATTTCTTACCTACAGGACCATAGGTTGGTGAAGATTTCTCTTTCAAAGTCTTCTAGTCATTTACACTTGATCTTAGCCAAAAGGCCAGATGCTATCTTCTAGCATTTACAGTGGGCCTTTTCTAAAACTGCAGATCTTACTAGTTCCAATATCACTGCCTCATTGTATCTTTCAGGCCTCAAAATGGGAATTTCTCGAGGCTGTTGCTAGCCCTGGGATGCTTTATTATCCCTGGTCGATATTATTCAGGCTCACACTTTGTTATATAGTCTGTTCTATATTATTCCATTTGAGTGTGCCATTTGTTTCTACTTTAAGGCCCTAAAGAATATTTTATTTTAAGGGTGAAATAGTAACATATAGTGATAAACAGAGTTTAAGTACTAGAAAACTTAGATAAGGAAATACCTAGACAAAAATATTCAATGATTTATATTCCTTTGACTATATACCCAGTAATGGGATTACTGGGTCAAATGGTATTTCTGGTTCTAGATCTTTCAAAACCAGCCTGGCCAACATAGTGAAACCCTATCTCTACTAAAACAACAACAACAACAACAACAACAACAACAACAACAACAACAACACAAAAATTAGCCAGGCATGGTGGCGAGCTCCTGTAGTCACAGCTACTCAGGAGGGTGAGGCAGGAGAATCGCTTGAAGCCAGGAGGCAGAGGTTGCGGTGAGCCGAGATGGTGCCACTGCACTCCAGCCTGGGTAACAGAGTGAGCCCCGTCTCAAAAAAGAAAAGGAAAGAAAAGAAAAAGCAGCAGTTCTATCTCAAAGCACTACAACGGCAGGCGTGGTGGCTCATCCCTGTAATCCCAGAACTTTGGGAGACTGAAGTGGGGTGATCACGAGGTCAGCAGTTCGAGACCAGCCTGGCCAAGAGAACAGCCTGGCCAATATGGTGAAACACTGTCTCTACTAAAAATACAAAAATTAGCCAGGCGTGGTGGCAGGTGCCTATAATCCCAGCTACTCGGGAGGCTGAAATAGGAGAATTGCTTGAACCCAGGAGGCGGAGGTTGCAGTGAGCAGAGACTGAGCCACTGCACTCCAGCCTGGGCGACAGAGCGAGACTCCGACTCAGAAAACAAACAAACAAACAAAAAACAAAAAACTAATTTTAATAAGTTCCAATTGGTAGTAACAACAACAAAAAGACATTTAGAAGTAAATTTAACACAGTATGTTCAGACCTGCAATAACATGTTTAAAAACTAAAACTGTAAGATGTTACATGAGACTTAAATAAATGGACGCATAAAGGAAATTTATGACCAATAAGACTCAGTCATTATATTGCTATTTCTCCTCAAATTGTTTTCTGCAATTAATGCAATTCCAATATTTGTCATGAAGGCTGTTTATTTTTAATAAATTTATTAGTTTTGAAAAAATTATATAAAAACCAAAAGGGTCAAAATAGTCAACATCCTCCTCCAGAATAAGACTAAAGAAATTGTACTTGTCGATGTCAAGATGTTAGTAAGTCTGTGGTAATTCAGATAGTGCATGTTAGTATTGGGTCAATGCAACATATTAGAGGGCACAGATAATGGTACACACACTCACACAAACCCACAACTTCACATATATGGATCCTGGATTGACCACATAATTAGTATTGTAGGTTGTTGGATTACGGATGACACAATCACATTCATCCCCCATCACACCCTTACTTTGAAGAAGTACCATTCATAAGTTGGTGATTTTTTTTTTCTGTAACAAGTAACCAGCCAAACTCTCTTGACCATGGGTGTGTTCCTGATGTTTTTCATTGATGAGCATAGATAGGCGAGAGGGAATTATATTTTTTATAAGGTTTTATATTGGTAATGTGATTATATAAAAATATATCCTTCATCTGAGGTGATGCCATGCTGAAGAACATTTTTGGAGTATCTTAATGTTTTCACTTTTACATTTCCTTACATTTTCTCATTACTGGAAAGAAGAATCAAAGATTTCAACTAAGGTGTGTATTTTTTTGTTTTAAGTTTTTGTTTGTTTTAGAAAGGGTTTCACTTTGTGCCCATGCAGTGGCGCTGTCACAGCTCGCTGCAGCCTTGACCTCCCGTGATCAAGCAATCTTCCTGCCTCAGCCTCCCAAGTAGCTGGGACTACAGGTGTCATACCACCACGCCCAGCTAATTTTTTATTTTTTTTTTGTACAGACAGGATTTCACCATGTTGCCCAGGGTGGTCTCCAACTCCTGGTTGAAGCAATCTGCCCACTTCAGCCTTTCAAAGTGCTGGCATTACAGGCATGAGACACTGCTCCTGGCCTCCAGCTAACTTCCAGAAGTTGTAACACTTGTTTTCTATGTTACACATTGAGATGATGCTTTGTTAAACATATTTCTATGGCTCACAAGGTGGAGCAAAACTTCTCCCATAATTTTATGCATCACCTCTCTCCAGCTTATTACAGACATGATCAACATTTGGTCAGGAATAGAAAAAGGTTGATATGTTTCCCATCCCATGTTTCTGTCCATCTCTATTCCCACCTGGATTTCATCAGAAGAATCTCAGGGTCTTCCAGGAGGGGGAACCAGTATCTCCAGCAATGGGTAGATACACACTGCTCTACAGAACAAATGCCTGCTCATACTGTGCGGTTACTTTGATGGTAAGGAAATTGATGGGTGTTCCTAGAGTTTGGAAGACATAGAGATATACATATTTTGCAATGCACCTGGACAATTCTAAAGACAAGAGCCCAGTTAAAGCTCCTTTGACCACAGAGCAAAGAAAAAGTGCTGAAAAGGGCTGAGCCTGCACTTCCAGAATTAGCTGCCTCTAAAAATTCCAAGTTTTTCCATTATCAAAGTGGACACTATAGGAAGATATACATAGGGATATCCTAAAAGAACTTCCTGCTAAAATTATCTGACACAAACAAATGAAGTGGTGTAGGGTATATCACTGAATCAGAGAACTCAAAAGCATTCTTGGAAGGTCAGCTCTAGAAAGTTCAGCTAGATATTAGTATTAAATATCCCAATCAAAACACTCGAAAGTGCCACAAGAAAAAAAAAGCCAGGAATTAATACTAGAATCCATCAACACTTAAGTAAGACCTGCTTATTTTCCTTACACTCCTGGAGAAACCATGTACAGCTAGCAATTTGAAGAATAATTAGAATGGTAAGTAGAAGATCCAGACGGAATATTGAAGACAATATCTCTCTTCCTTGTTACTGGACTCTGAATTAACCAGGGAATTATACTAATTGCTTGCATTTATTGTAAGCAGCAAACAGTGCTTACTATTTGCCAGCAATCCTCCATGAATTAATTTATTTAATCTTTGCAATAAACCTATAGGGTGGTAATTATTATTACTACCCACCATTTTAGAGTTGAGAAAACTAAAGCATATAGAGTTTGAATAACTTGCCCAAGTTTACATCGCAGCTGGTATTCAATTTCAGGTAATTAGTTTCCAGAGTATGTCCTCTTAACCTCTATTCCTAACTACATCCAGTTGTGAAATAATCTTTGAAAATATGAATAATTTATTTAACTTTTTTTATATGAAGGAAAAAGACTTTTCTAAAAACAAGCAGTAAGTGGAAGAGCTATTGGAATTGCCAGAGACATGATCAATAGGCTGAATATGAAATTCAGATAAGCTTGCTGGATGTCATATTGAGAAAAATAGAAGCATTGTTTTCCCTGGTAGCATTTGACAAAGTCCAGGTCTTGTCATATGCCCAATACATCAATTTCCTATTTTAAAAATTTATCAGGTTCAATGTTAATCTGTACAAACATATTAAAACTGAGGTAGAATGGTGCCAATTACACTAAAATGAAACCTACAGAGATCCGTTTTATTTAATTAGGAAAGCAAATTATTTTGCTGCCTAACGATTTTTTTGAGGAAGAAAGAAAATTCTGTTTATTAATATTAAGGCCTGACATGTGAGGAGAAGATTATGAAATTCCTGAAACGTTTAGTGCCTTATCTATTTTCTTCATGATGCCAGAGCCCATTTTACCCCGATAGATTTCTGAAAATTTTTATTAGGTTAATCATGTGATTATAAAGATTGTGGTTAATCAAATTCCAGGATATTATGTTGGTATACTTTTTGTCTGTTTGCTTGTTTTTATCATTTCAAAAGGAGCATCTGTGAAGTTATCGTGCTAGGCACATAAAGTAGGATTTTGAGGATCCTGGCTTTCTGTGGTCACACCTTCTGCAATACATGAACTTGGCCATTTGTGGAAAACAACACAGAAAATGTGGAACATGTTACTATTTGTTTTTTATCTAACAACACTGGACAGAGTCAGAAGCCAAAATGATAAAAAGAAGTGTAGTAAGCACACTGTAAAAATAGAAACCTCCTTTTGGACAAAAGATACCACAAATGTAAAGAGACAGGAATTCATAAAATGTGGTTAAGAATTCACTCACATGGGCAAATATACTCGAGAGAAATAAAGTTATTTTTTATCATATCCTCAACAACCTGACCACCTGGGTCTTCTTTACTCTCCTGGAAAACTAGATTGGACACAAAGAAACCCATACTCAGAGAGCTGAAAAGCTGACAGTCTTCTTTTTGTCAGGTAGCCAAGAAAGAGGCAATATGTGCACGCAGGTAAAAGCAGGATTAGAGATCTGCTTCTGCTTAGAAAGTTTCACTGCTAAATCTTATGTAAAAAGTAAGCTTTCCACAAATCTTAGCCAACACTGATATTTAATCTAGCATCTGGACAGTTGTTTCAGTTTACCACCTTGTAGGTGTAACTTTAGAATTATTGCAGAGTCCTAAAGGTTGAAAAGCAAGGAAAGTTGTCTAGATTCTCACTGTGAGAATCACAAAACACATAAACTATACTATATTTCACACACCACAGCTGGAAACCTTTAAGCAATTCAGGAGGAGTGAATTCCCTTTACTTACAGAAATGAAAACCTACCTAGACAGGATATTCTTAAGCAAGGAGTTTCCTCTGTACAATTTGCTGACATAATTAGAGATGAAACTGAAAATTTGGACAGTACTTATTCTGAGTTTTATTACCCTATTCATCTGAAATATTTAAAGTACATGTAAATTGTCTATGTGAGTCTTGTAGATAAGTCAAAATCATGTTTTGTAGAAACCTTAAATTGTTCCCACTTTTTTCCCCTTGTTCATTATGCCTGCCTCATCCTAAAAAGAATTTGAGGTGCCAATGTATTGTTTGGCTACTATCAAGTTATGAATAACAATTTAGCTGCCAGGAAGTTTATATCAAGAGTGAACCAAGAACTGAATGGTTAAGGTTTTTCCTTTATACATTCATCCATGAATAATTTTTGTGATCCACTTTAAATTAATAGAACGAAATTAGCATTTTAAAGAGTCAAAAACACAGTTCTGTTTTTATCTTCTTTTAAACCTTAATTATGACTTTTTAAATATCACCTTTAAACATGATAATAAAATTGGGCTGCAATTCTATTATGCATAATAACAGATATCCACAATAGCACTACTTTTTACAAAGCATAACATTGTATTAGATTTTGAAAAATATATTTTTCCTGAAGAATAAAAGGTAAATTAATATTTTAGTATGATGTGTTTCATGTAAAATCAAGTTTAATTTTTTCTTTATCTAATATCCTACTTTTAAGAAAAGTTATATTGAATGCTTCCCTCTTCTCATAAAGATAACAGTAACTACTGTTTTATCTCATTAATTTGTTTTATTATTATATTTACTGACATGATGTAACTGTACTTTTTGTCATGTCACACTCACATTGATGTCTTGATATCCAGTTGTTTGTTTTAGGATTTCAGAAACTCAGTTGTATTTGTTCAGCCAAGAATTATCAATTTCTAAAGAAAGGGAAATTGACTAGTGCAATAAATTCAAGACTGGCTATGTCGGGATGGCAAATTTTCTATTTACAATATGTTAAAAATATCATCTGATCGCTAGAATGAGGAGGGAGTACAATTTATGATACCCAAATCTAGAATAAGTAAAAACAGAGTTTGGTAGTCATAAGAAGAAATGGATGCTGTTTACTAAAGACAAATTTCCACTCACTTATCTTCATCTAGTGAACTTCCATTTTCTACTTTAAGGATGAATCTGTCACCTGAAGAACAAACCTGTGGGTTTCAGTTTCAGAGCAACCTTATTTGAGACATAAAGACCAATATATAATTGTTAACTTTCTTTTTCTGATATATTAGAAAGTTCATTATATTCTCTGTGTAGGGGCAAAAAGCATATTTGAATTCTCAAGATGATCTATTATTTAGTCTGTTATAATTAGATTTTGTAATTCTATTTTTGTAAAGCATCCAGTTCAGTAAAAATGAAACAAAAATCACTTATTACACATAGCTAAAGATGTATTAGCTATGAAAACATCCTACCACCCCCATTATAAAAGTATATTCTGGCTATCATATGAAGAGTTACAATTCTTAAACATATATTCGTATGGTGGAGCTTTCCTTTGTCTGGGACTTAAAGTCAACCATAATTAACCGCACATGTATCTACTTGATCTTTTAATTTTTCAATAAGGCAAACATATTTTTAGATTAATAATACACTTGAAAATTATTTTTGTTGCTGTTTTAAAGTAAGTGGACTGTCTCAATTTATATCTGGTACATTACTTTCAAGATTACTAATTTGCTTTAAGTCACTAAGGAGATGAATGTGCCTGGTAGTTCGTTAAGCAAAATTAAATGTATTGCAAGTGTCTGTAGAGTTATTCATGGTGTTGGCACGAATACATTGTGCTTCTTTAGAACATTATCACTTATAAAAAGAAGAAAATCATATGGCATGCTTAGACCTTAATGTCATAGTAACAAAATGATTGAAAACAATATTTAAGCTTCTTGGAAAATTTGCCTAGAGATGTTGCCTCTATGCTGAACATAGTACTTTTATTTTTAAGTGTAAATAAATAGGATCTATTTTGAATGATTATAGAGGCAATCTACTGAATGTCTCCCTTTAGTAACAGTTCAGATGTATGTAAAATGCTTAACAGGTATGAACTACCAATTGATGACTGTCAACGTCTCCAAACTCAATGGTGGAGAATATAGCAATAGAGTTTCCAAATTAAAAATGGTTATTCACCATGCCTTCTTCGTCCTGTGCGTGCCTTTTTTTTTTTTTAAAGAAAATGCAAATATATTCAGCTACAGACTTAAAGCCATTGATATGTGTCTTCAATGCTAGGAAACTTATAAACAGCAGTTCCATTTATAATAGATCTGTTCTTATTAAAAATAACCCTGGCTGGGCGCGATGGCTCACGCCTGTAATCCCAGGCCGAGAGGGGGTGGATCACGAGGGCAGGAGATCGAGACCATCCTGGCTAATACAGTGAAACTCTGTCTCTACTAAAAATACAAAAAAAAATTAGCCGGGTGTGGTGGCTGGCACCGGTAGTCCCAGCTACTTGGGAGGCTAAGGCAGGAGAATGGCTTGAACCCGGCAGGCGGAACATGCAGTGAGCCGAGATCGCGCCACTGCACTCCAGCCTGGGTGACAGAGTGAGACTCCGTCTCATAAAAAAGAATAATAATAATCCTAAATTATGTGATGATCTAAAGACAGTTATGAACAGTTGATGAAATTAACTAGTGACAGCATCAACTGCATGTGTTGATTGTGTCCAGGAAGGAAGACTTATTTTAAAATATATTCACAAAAGTATGGCCTATCCCAGACCATTATTTGGAATAGGGTGATAAAGATTTTTATTGCATTTTTTCCCTCTAATCTCTGGTTAATCATTCTCAACACCAAGAAAATCATTCGGACTTCCTGGCATAGGATGATAAAAGTTGAGGAGAAGCAATACTGATCTTTTCTTTATTTTTTTAAAACAATATCTGTTAATATATTTCTTAGGAAGAAACTGAAGCATGGAGGAAATTATGGAATCCTTCGAGTTAGAAGAAAAAGCCTGTTAAACAGATAAATTAAAAACTGATACTCCATTCCTAACACTCTACTGAGTTATAATCCTTCCTTTTCTACATTTCTTCTGTATCAAAGGAGACCATTCTGTTCTTGAGGAAGAATATTTTCTATGTAGAATTCTCAGACTATGTAAAGAGATTAAAGGACTTACCAAAGATCAAAAAGGAAAATGAGTATCAGAGTCATTACATATTAGTTTTAAGTAATTCATTTCAATGAAGAGTAATTATGGAAAGTTAATTTTTAATACTTTAATTTCAAATACTATATTGACTTGGAAGACATAATAGTTTAGCTTTGGACTACATAAAGAACGAGCAATTAATTATTTTAAAATACTTCTAGTACACATAGTCTTATATTCTGCATAAAATTTTAAAAATAATTTTGAAGCTTCCCGGAGTATTAGCTATATTACTGAGAAAAGCATCTTCTAACTACTTTCATGCATAATGCCATGCTTATATGGCATTTCATTTAAATGTAGCATTTTTTAAAGAAAGATTGTTTATGACTTTACTGACCTAGTAGAGAATGGTTTTTAATTTTAAGTATTTATATATTGTTGACCAGATCCTTCCCTCCATTTTACCTATTGCCAGATACAAAACACCTCCATAGTAGAGAGCCTCCCTGCTATCTGCACAGCTTCCTGTGAGATCTCTGTGACATCAAACATCCTGCTAGCTGGATAGGTGCATAGTCTGTTCTCACACTACCTTTGAATACATAGGCCATGTTCATCGACAGCTTATCCTTATTTTGTGTTGCTAGGAACCCCTGGAATCATTCACGACACCCTCGTCAGTCTCTGATTCCCTGCCATCCTTGAGCTGTCTATGCTTTCTGTCAGTGGAGGCCTAGTTCTGTCAGTATTATGGAGACATTGGCTCAATTCAAGAGTAAGAAAAAGAAACATCTTAAAAAGCATCCGTTTAAAGGACTCTAGAGGAAACGAGTCAATAAATGCATACATATTATTCCCTGCTGTTCATTTTATTCCTAATCTTATAAAGTGGACCTATTATGTCTCTATTTTTATTTTTATTTTTTTCTTCAACTTTTATTTTAAGTTCTGGGGCACGTGTGCAAGATGTGCAGGTTTGTTACATAGGTAAACACGTGCCATGGTGGTTTGCTGCACAGATCAGCCCATCACCCAGGTATTAAACCCAGCATCCATCAGCTATTATTCCTGATGCTCTCCTTCCCCACTACCCCTGCCGCCTCCCACCCTAACCACCTTCCCCGCCCACAACAAGCCATATCTCCTCACTGTTTGGGGCCTCGCTGTGGGAATTTCAGCAGCTCCAACCAGGGTTATAGCAACAGATCTCTGATCTCTCCCTGGGATGGAGTCCTTGCAGGGTGGGGCAGCAGCCGCTGTCTCTGCCATTCAGCCAAATTAGTCTTTCCAGGCTGCTGGCTCTGGAGTGGCCAGTCAGTGCAAAGCACCTGCTCTGCCAAGGGACAGCCAGACTGCTTCTTTAAGCGGGTCTATGTCTCTATTTTTAAAAAGGAGAAGCTCATGCTAGATACGTAAAAAAAAATGTGATAAGTATTATTAAAATGAACACTAATGTGTTATCTTTGGCACTTGGCTACTGACATTTTGCTGTTTAGCTGGTAGGAAAAAAGTAGCCCAGGCTCTCAACCACCTGTGAAGTTGTTCACTTCCCACTCACCCTCTAAAAAGTATCGGGGTCAGGGAGGAAAACTGAATGCATAGAGGAGCTATTATCTCTAGCACAAAGGAAATGTTTATTATCCCTCAATGTGCCTAACTTGGAGCCAATAATGTTGTAATAGTTGAGGTTAGCATGTAGACGAGGTGACAAACTGAAGGAGGTTACCGGGGCTGCTGGGACTCTGGTTTGCCTCTAGGCTACCAGGAAGTGTTTCTTATCACAAGTGATCCAGCCCATTTGTTAGGAATAAAAACCTGGTAGTTTGAGGATGTAACATAAAATTATTAGTTTATAGATTGTGTCATGGCCTAGAACATCACCTGATTACCTATAACGGTAGTAGATAAAAGATTAGGATTCAATTTTGGGAATCAAAGACAAATTCTTCTCATTATGGAACTGCCAAGCAGGATTTTTTAAAATACCAAATAAGCCAGTGCTATTTTGAATGTTGGAAGATATACTGCGGACATCAGGGGAAAAACAAATAGAAGTTTTTCCTCATTTGCTTTTGGTTTGCTATACTAAGCATTGCCTTTCTAGCCTTTCTAGAAAAAAAACAAGTCTATTTGTACCCGAATAGGCAATCTTATTGCCATTTTTATAGTCATTTGCACAACATTATCTACCTAAGAAATCTTTCTTGAAATGCCAAAAAAAAAAAATTGACTATGGAAATTTCATATATGATAAAGCGAAAATCTCAAATTAGCATGGAAAGGATGGTGTTTTACATAAGTGGTTCTGGAATAACTAGAGTCATGTGGAGAAAGTTAAAATTGGATCTCTTCCTTATATCATACATGAGGATGTGTACTTCAAGTAGACAGAGATTTTAATATTAAAAAACAATTAGACGAGTGACAGAAGAAAACATGTATGATTCACTCACAGTTAAGTGAAAATACGTGCTATTACACAAACTTCCAAGTACTTAAAAAGAACATAGTCACATATTTGATCATATACAATTTTTTTTAATTAAAAAAAATCAACATAGCTGGGTAAAAAGGCAGACCACACACTGAGAAATATTTGCAAAGCATATCCTAAATATATATGAGCTTCTCAAAGCTAGAATTAAAAAAAACAGAAATATGCTAGAGCTATGAACAAATACTGCATAGAAAAATAAATTGTAAATTGTCTATGTAACATGTAAGTATACATACATTCACACTCAAAAATTATAAATTTATGTTAAATAACATTAAAATACTATAAAATAAATGAAAATTCTTTCATTGGGGAAAAATAAATTAATTTAAAAAAATTGATAGTTTTTTAACAACATTAATCACAATGGGACCTCTCAATAGTAGAAATGTTTAAAATTGTGACTTTTCAACAATTACTGCCAGAACAACTTTTAATTCTTCTTCCCTTGCCGTAATAAACTAAAGTGAAGAAATGATCAAGTTTTAAGCAGACTATAAATTCCTTTAATAAAGACTTCAGTGTTGAAAACACTGGGGCATTGGAGGTATGGGCAAACCTATTTTTACTGTGCCTCCCAGATATTGCACTTATCCAATACTGTGTTTTTACAAACTAAAGGTTTGTGGCAACCCCGCCTCCAGCAAGTCTATTGGTGTCATTTTTTTTCAATGACATGTGCTCACTTCATGTCTCTGTGTAATTCTTGCAACATTTCAAAATTTATTATTACTATTATATCAATTTTAATGATATGTGATCAGTGTTATTTAATGTTACTGTTGTAATCATTTTGGGTAACCACAAATCACGCCGATACAAAATGCCAAACTTAATCATAAATGTGTGTGTTCTGACAGCACCACCAACAGGCTGTTCCCCTGTTTCTCTCCGTCTCTTCTCGGCTCCCTATTCCCTGAGACATTTCAATTTAATATTGAAATAAGGTCAGTTAATGATAACCCTACAATGGCCTCTAAGTGTTCAAGTAAAAGGAAGAATCTCAAGTCTCTCACTCTAAATCAGAATCTAGAACTGATTATAAACTTAGTGAGGATGGCATATCAAAAGCCAAGACAGATCAAAAACTAGGCCTCTTGGGCCAAAGAGCCAAATTGTAAATGCAAAGGAAAAGTTCCTTAAGGAAATTAAAAGTGCCTCTTCAGGGAATACATGAATGATAAGAAAGTGAAACAGCCTTGTTGCTAGGATATGGATAAAGTTTGATGGTCTAGATAGAAGAATGAAACAGCCACAATATTTCCTAAGCCAAAGTCTAATCCAGAGCAAGGCCCTAACTCTCTTCAATTCCATGAAGGCTGACAAAGGTGAAGAAGCTGAGGAAGAAATCTGAAGCTAAAAGAGGTTGGTTCATGAAGTTTAAGGACAGAAGTCATCGTTGTCACATAGCAGTGAAAGGTGAAGCAGCAAGTACTGATATGGAAGCTATAACAAGTCAACTAGAAGATCTAGATAAGATATTTGATGAAAGTGGCTACACAAAACACTTATCAATGTAGATAAAATAGGTCTTATATTGGAGGAAGATGTCACCTAGAACTTTCATAGCTAGAGAGGATTACCTGACTTCAAATCTTCAAAAGATAGAGTAACACTCTCGTTAGAGGCTAATGCAGCTGGGGACTTTAAGTTGAAGCCAATGCTCACTTTCCATACAAAAAATCCTACAGTCCTTAAGAATTATGCTAAGTCTATTCTGCCTGTGCTCTATAAACGGAACAACAAAGGCTGGCTGACAGCAAATCTGTTTGCAGCACGGTTTACTGAATATTTTAAGCCCACCTTTGAGATCTAATAAGAAAAAAAGATTCATTTGAAAATATTATTGTTCATTGGCAATGCATCTGGTCACCCAAGATCCCTAATGGAGATGTACAAGTAGATTACTATTGTTTCTATGCCTGATAACACAGCATCCATCCTGCAGCCTATGAATTAAGGGGTAATTTCAACTTTTAAGTCTTATAACTTAAGAAATACATTTCATAAGGCTGTAGATGCCATAGGCAACAATTCCTATGATAGATCTTGGCAAAGTAAATTGAAAACTGGAAAGGAGACACCATTTTATTTTATTTTATTTATGTATTTATTTTGAGGTGGAGTCTCACTTTGTTACCCAGGCTGGAGTGCAGTGGCGCGATCTCGGCTCACTGCAATCTCCACCTCCCAGGTTCAAGCGATTCTCCTGGCTGAGTATCCCATATAGCTCAAATTACAGGCATTCTCCACCACGCCCAGCTAATTTTTACTATTTTTAGTAGAGACAGGGTTTCACCATGTTGGTCAGGTTGGTCTCAAACTTCTAACCTCAAATGATCCTCTCGCCTTGACCTACCAAGGTGCTGGGATTATAGGCGTGAACCACTGTGCCCGGCCAGGAGTCACATTTTAGATGTCATTAAAATATTCACGATTCATAGGAAGCGATCAAAATATCAACAATAGTAAGAGTTTGAAAGAAGCTGATTCCAATCCTCATGGGTCACTGTGAGGGGTTTAAGACTTCAGTGAACGAAGTTCTTGGAGATGTCCTGGAAATAGCAAGAGAGCTAGAGTTAGAAATGCAAGCTAAAGATGTGACTGAATTGCTGCAATCTTATGATAAAACTTTAACAAATGTGTAGTTGCTTCTAATGGATGAGCAAAGGGAAGTGGTTTCCTGAGATGCAATCTACTTCTGGTGAAGATACTGTGAACACTATTGAAATGACAACAAAGGGTTTAGAATATTACATAAACTCAGTTGATAAAGAAGGGTCCGGATTTGAGAGGACTGACTCCAATTTTAAAATAAGTTCTACTATGAGTAAACTGCTACTGAGAAATATTTCATGTAAGAAACAGTCCATTGATGTGGCAAAGTTTATTGTTGTCTTAGTTTAAGAATTTGTCACAGCCTCCTCAACCTTCATCAACCACCATCCTAATCACTCAGCAGCCATCAACATCCAGGCAAAACCCTCCACCAGCAAAAAAGATTATGACGCACTGAAGGCTCTAATGATGTTAACACACTGAAGGCTCTAATGATGTCAGCTTATTTTAGCAACAAAGTCTTTTCTTAATTAAGGTATGTAAATTTTTTATTTTAATCAGAATGCTATTTCACACTTAAAGCACTACAGGATAGTATAAACATAACTTTTATATACACTGGAAAACCCCAAAATTTGTGTGACCAGCTTTATTGTGATATTCACTTTATTCTAGTAGTCTGGGATGGAATCTGCATTATCTCTAAGTGATGCCTGCATTGAAGCATGTGCTCTTAAAATGTTTATGCCAGCATAAACATATATATGAGACACACTGAACATATATATATATGTGTTTATATATATATGGCATATATATATATATGTTTATATATATGCCATATATATGTTTATATATATGGCATATATATATAAACATACATATATGTTTATATATATATGCCATATATGTTTATATATATGCCATATATATGTTTATATATGGCATATATATATGTTGAAACTTTAAAATCTAGACATTACATAATATTTTCTAATTTTTAAAATCTCAGAAAATGACCACTTATTTGTTGAAAATATACTCACCATTAAGTCAATATTTATGTTTAAATATGGTTTATATTTGTTAGATGAAAAAGCAGGGCTTTGCCTTTTATATTTAACTTATTTCATTGTATAACATAAAAGAATTTTAGTATAAGTTGCATCCAAACTATTTTAAGTTACCAGTTACTCGGAGTACAGATTGTTTAAATTTTCAGAGACATTTGCTAAATCCGGAATAAAGCAACCTAGCTCTATAGATCTTGTCTTTCTCTTCCTTACCTAGCTTGCTTCCCTTCATGATCTATTTATTTATGTATTCTTGAGTGTATTATTTTATATTGTCCTAGTTATGTATATATATATCCCGTGCTTATGTTAAAAGCTCTTCTGAAAGAATTCTTGTCTAATGACATCCCATTTGAGCTTACACACATATGCTACTCTTTGATGAACAAAATTTAATATTGGAGAATATTAGAATAATACCACTTTAATTATATCCTCCCCCCCAATAAATTGATACTTATTCAGTGATATTTTTATAGGTGAAACACAACATATGAAGTCATAGGCAATTGGAGAATTATCTGTAATACTTATAATAATATGGGTCAAAGATCCATTGAGCAGACATCCTATGAATATCTTATCTTTGGAACATAAAAGTGGAGCATATGGCATAACTCAAGATCCCAAATGAAACAACGTACAACTTAGAACACTCATTTCATTTTTGTTTAAACCTTAAATGATTTACTTACACTTACATTGTTCTTAACATTTTCTCTCTGCTAAAATGACAAATGTGAAACATCCTGCTTTCATTTACTGGCATGTGTTTAAATAAATACTGCATTAAACAAATCAACAAACAAAAGTCAGGAGCCTAATCAAAGATTTCTTTGATTTCTTTCTGTATATGTAACACAGCCTGCATAATAAAAATCTTCTGCCGCAATTCATATATCAAGGAAAGTCAATGAGGGTCTCATCTTAGAATTAGTGACAAAACACCATGATATTACTTCTGACATCAGTTGCTGCCTTTAAGAAGTGAATTTCCGCTTAGCCAACCATTACCTCTATTTAATCAAAATAATTACCTCGGCAAATCCCAAATACTAGAACTGGTTTGAAGGAAAACAGGACTGGATTTTAAGTTTTGTTATAAGAAACCTTAAAGATATTTTTAAAAATAAAAAATATTTAGTGATTACACACATAGTAATTTACTGTTTTCTACAATTATCTATTCATAGTCAATGTTGTTTTATTTCTACTCCACATACTTCTATCACTCCCATGAATAACTTTGAAGCAAATTCCAATATTGTACAGTTTCATTCATAAGCATGCTAGCATATACAGTAAAAAATAGACATAAAAATATATTCAAAACACTGTTAATAAACCCAGAACAAAAAAGGATAACTCCCTAATAACATCGAAATACATTCTCTTTATTCCTATCATAGTTTATTTATTGAATAAAATGGTTATAGAGTTATCAACGTTCTGGATTTTTCTCATTGCCATTGTCGAATTGTTTAAACAATGCCTTTGTCATGATATTACTTCCAAATTGGCAAATATATTTAGAGATCTGATTAAATCCCACCCCCGCCCCTACCACCACAAGAAAGAATGCTTCAGAGGTTGGTTGGTTTTTTTAATCAGGAGACCCGTGTTATTTAGTTGTCTTCTATTTGTAATGCATTGATGATTACGCCTAGAATTCCTATATCTTATTAGGGTTGCAAATATCATAATATTCTAAATTTCTTAACTCATGAGCAGTAATAATTTTGGAAAAAGGTGTATTATATTAGTCAGGGTTCTCTAAATGGACAGAACTAATAGGATAGATGTGTAAGGGAGTTTACATCTAATAGGATAGATGTGTAAGGGAGTTTACATCTAATAGGATAGATGTGTAAGGGAGTTTACATCTAATAGGATAGATGTGTAAGGGAGTTTACATCTAATAGGATAGATGTGTAAGGGAGTTTACATCTAATAGGATAGATGTATAAGGGAGTTATAAGGGAGTTTATTAAGGAGAATTGACTCACATGATCACAAGGTGAAGTCCCACGATAGGCCAACTGCAAACTGAGGAGCAAGGAAGCCAGTCTGAGTCCCAAAACCGCAAAAGTAGGGAAGCCAACAGGGTATCCTTCAGTCTGTAGTTGAAGGCCTGAGACCATGTGGCAAGCCGCTGGTGTAAGTCCAAGAGTTCAAAACCTGAAGAACTTGGAGTCTGATGTTCGAGGGCAGGAAGCTCCAGCACGAAAGGAAGACGAAGGCCAGAAGACTCAGCAAGTCTGCTCCTTCCACCTTCTTCTGCCTGCTTTATTCTAGCTGTGCTGGCAGCTGATTTTAGATGGTGCCCACCCAGACTGAGGGTGGGTCTGCCTCTCCCAGTCCGCTGACTCAAAAGTTAATCTCCTTTGGCAACACCCTCACAGACACACCCAGGAACAATACTTTGCATTCTTCTATTCAATCAAGTTGATAACATTAACCATCACATACATCAATTTAAAATATTGATGCATTTCAATCCATTGCATCATTACTCTTTTTGGCACTCAGTTGTGGCATTCCTGACCTGTAGAAACTTCTTCAAACTGACCCCTTATCCCTTTGTAAATTACCTCAGTAGTCTTTGATAACTTCCTTGTTTTCTACTCTGACAAGATATTTATAGAGATCTAACCAATCTGGGACATTTTAATACTGTAATTTGTGTTATTAATAATTCAGCCAGGACAAGGAGGCATAAATCAGGAATCTCCTGGGACAAATTAAATTCCCACTCTAATTTACATTCATATTACCCTTTTAAATTTTTGTAGATTCCTGGTCATGACCTGGAATTATTATTATTATTATTATTATTTTGCATTTAAGTGTTCCTTATCACTATGCTTCTCACTTAACATTTTCTTTGACATGTCAAAGACAATATATTAAGGTTGTAAATATATTCACACTATAATCATAATGAACAAAGACCTTTTTATTTTTTATAATTTATTATCATAAACTCCCATCAATGGGTAATTAAAAAGAAACTGAATTTATTCGTATGAAGTTTATAACTGTATTTGATGACTTAAAGAGTCTCTTTATGGTAATAGTCAGTCTCTCCTATTTTACCTGGCCTCCATCCACCTTGTCCCCCTCCCTGAAATAGTGCCGGTTTTCTATGATTGTGTCACACATATTAAAGGACTTCCTGATCCGTGCAGTGTGCATGCAGCTCTGTCATCTGTCACTTTTTTATCCTGGAACCCTATATGTTCCCGAAGCTTAAGTGGAGCAGTGACATAACTTATGATTTAGGCTCCTCAGCTCTAACAATCACAGATGTATACTGCGCTCTGTCTTGTGACAAACCATCTGAAACTACGCCACATCCTCCATGACCTAGATAGTGCACCCCGCCTGATTCTGCTCCTCACCATAAATGGTGGTTCCTTTTAAGGCAGGCGTTTCAGGCCGCCTCTAAGTTCTTCCTGGAAAACCTAGATTGGTTCAGGAAATAACCACACAGCTTTACCCCATCTAACCTCTCAGAGCACCTAAGTTTACTTAGATGTGGTCATTTAAGATTTAGACAAGAATTCTAAAGGGGCAACTGTATCATAAAGAGATTTTTCCCTGGGCACACTTTTTTTTTTTTTTTTTTTTTTTTTTGAGGCAGAGTCTCGCTTTTCGGCCCAGGCTGGAGTGCAGTGGGGTGATCTCGGCTCAATGCAAGCTCCGCCTCCCGGGTTCACGCCATTCTCCTGCCTCAGCCTCCCAAGTAGCTGGGACTACAGGCGCCCGCCACCATGCCTGGCTAATTTTTTGTATTTTTAGTAGAGACTGGGTTTCACCGTGTTAGCCATTATAGTCTCCATCTCCTGACCTCGTGATCCGCCCGCCTCGGCCTCCCAAAGTGCTGGGATTACAGGCGTGAGCCACCGCGCCCGGCCCACACTTTCTAACTACCTTATGGATCATCTTCTGTAGAACTGTTACCACTGAAGAGAAAATTCAGAACACAGTAGACTGACAGCTTTTTGATCTGGCGGGATATTTTTCTTCCATTGGCTACGAACCTTTGGGATAGAAATGGGTTGATGTGTCTCAGTCATATTCTTCGTTAGAATCTTCTCTACACTTTGAGAAGAATGCTATGACCTAATCTAGCTTTCTATCAACCATAATGCCTGGCTTAAGATCTCAAATCATATCATTTTCTAGTGTCTCAGTTTCAAAAAAGAAAGCTGCAATTAGAAGATAATTTTAGTGGGAAATTAAGATTCATCTCTTTCACATTCACAAAATATAATTCTCATTTTAACGACATATTCCAGAAAAAAATATTTGCAAGGAAATCAATAATGTTAATGGTCACAGAAATAGACTTTAGTAGCAAGCGTGTGTATGCATGTGTGTGCATACACACATGTCTGTGTAGAGCTGTGGATTGAGTGTGAAAGTAAAAATTCTGCTAAAATATGAGGTCAGTTCTTTCATACATTAGATCAGATTAACAGCAGGTTTCCATATCATCTGTCAAATGATGAACTGAGAATCAGAAGACAGGAGAATGAGAAAAACAAAATTATAGCAAAGTGAAGGTACCTAGGTAAAGTCCAGCTGTGATTTGGGAATTATGATCAAATTAAAAACTGTGAGCATCATTCTTCCTTCCTCCCATTGCAGAGCTAAAAATATGATGAGTGTAAAAAAAAATAGAGATGGCATAATTATGCTGCTCAAATAACTTATCCACAGTCATGAAATCACTGCTTGGGTAGCTCTCTCCTAATTCCAGAATGAGTGGAGATAAATTATCATGAAGTCTTTAAAAAAAAAATAGAACAAGACAAGAGGCAGAGTATTTGGGAGAATCTGAACAAAGAGGTACCTCTCAAAATGAGGTATTATAAAATGAAATAAAAGCATCTAAAGATATTTTGCATCCTCAACAGATAAAAGGAAGTCCTCATCCTATAATAAAGTAACAGAATTAGTTGAAATTGAATCAAAGTGAGAAGAAAGGTAGATAAGAAAAAGAAGGAAAGGACAATTTTTTTAGAATTAACAAATAATATCAGTAAAATATAAAATGCAGGTATAAAGATTAGAACTAAATTCTAAGAAGGGAAGACATAATGTGATAAAAATCAGTTCTTTAATAATATTTGCTTTATATATCTGGGTGCTCCAGTGCTGGGTACATATATATTTAAAATTGTTGTGTCCTCTTGCTGAATCAGCCCTTTTATTATTGTATAGTGACCTTTTTTTTGTTTCATCTTATGGTTTTTGTCTTGAAATCTGTTTTGTCTGATAAAAGTACAGCTCCTCCTGCAGAGACTGGGAAGGGGGTAGGGGGCTGGGGGGGCAGGTGGAGACAGTTAAATGGTACAAAAAATAAAAAGAATAAACAAGACCTACTATTTGATAGCACAACAGGGGGATTATAGTCAATAATGACCGAATTGTACATTTTAAAATAACTAAAAGAGTATAATTGGATTGTTTGTAACACAAAGGATAAATGCTTGAGGGGTGCATAGCCCACTCTTCATAAGGTGATTACTTCATATTGCATGCCTGAATCAAAACATCTCATATACTCTGTAAATATGTATACCTACTATGTACCCAGAAAAATTAAAAATTTACAAACATCAATTCTCCAAAATTAAATATTTTGAGGTTCTTAAATTGCAAATGGAATGTCAATAAAAATTTCCTTGGGGATTGAATACAATGATGTTAATGGCCATATGAAAGAATATCATATAAAAATAATTTTAAAATATATATATTAAAAATAATGAGGCCTATTTCAATCCATACAATAAAAAAATTCTAAGGCAATGCCAATAGCAAGATTTCAGTATTGACTCAGGAACAGAAAAGTAGATCAATGGAAAATAATATAATACTCAAAAACATATATTAGTACATAATATATATATATACATAAGGCCTCAGGTTTTGGTAATAAGTGGTTTTTATTCTCATATGGGGAAAATTTTTCAATATGACTAGACCCTTATTTCACACATCATTAATTCCAGGATCTGAACATTTAAATGTAAAACATAAAATAACTCTTAGCAAAGGATTTGGAAAATTATGCATATATTATACAGATAGAAGTTTTTTATAGACCAGCCAGGAAACTCAAAGGCTATAAGATGTAGTCATATTTGATGCCCTACAAAATTATACATTCTATAGCCCAGTGTTGTCTAGTAGGACTTTCTGAGGTGATGGAAATGTTCTATATCAGAACAGCCCAATATAGAGCCAGCAGACACATTTCAAATGCTTGAATTGACAGTGTGACTAAGATATCAAAACTGGGAAATGACTATTATTGGAAATGCTGCTATAGACAATGTTACTACATTAGTAGAAAAAAAACGTGTCATATTATCTATCTAGAATAAATATTTCTATAAATTCATAATAAATTTTACAATAAAATATGGTATATGCAAATTATTTGAAAAGAATTCACAGAAGAGCAAATGTAAATGGCAAAAAAATAAATAAATTGAGTGTCAACAGTTCTAGGATTCAAAGAAATTAAACTGAAATAATATGAAACATCTCACCCATCAAACGAGGGAAACAGTAAAATAAAATTTATGATAATATACATAACAAGGAATGAAGAGAATATATCACTTTTTTTTGTAAGTGGTAATTGATGTCTTAGAAGGCAGTCTGTCATTATGTGTTAACATAAACTTGAATGGTATTTTGTCCCAGAAAGTTCACCTATCATAGTCTCAGGAATCCATCTTAAAAGGAAAAGCAACCTTTAGTGGTAATTATACAGATTTATCTCTAGAGTCAATAAAATAAAATCAACATAAGTTTAAAATTTTAAAAGGATATTTATTACCTAAACTATTCAATTAATTGTGAATATATTAATATAGCTTAAAATTGAAATTTATCTGCAGGGCGCAGTGGCTCATGCCTGTAATCCCAGCACTTTGGGATGCCTAAGTGGGTGGACCACTTGAGGTCAAGGAGTTCAAGACCAGCCTGACCAACATGGTGAAACCGCATCTCTACTAAAAATACAAAAAAAAAAAAAAAAAAAAAAATTAGCTGGGCCTGATAGCCCACTCCTGTAACCCCATCTACTTGGGAGGCCGAGGCAGAAGAATTGCTTGAACTCGGGAGGCAGAGGTTGCAGTGAGCCAAGATCATGCCATTGCACTCCGGCCTGGGCAACAAGAATGAAACTCTGTCTCAAAAAAAAAAAAAAAAAACTGAGGTTTATCTGTGGAAATTGGATTTGGAGAATTCCCTTTAGGAAACTAGTTAGAGAAAAACGCTAATAATTAGAGAAGTATCTGTAATACATTTCTATTTTTTTATAAAACAAATAATGATAAAAACAATATTGCTCAATTTAACTGTTTATAGTCTCATTTTAAAACTTCCCTAACAAAACCCCTGGCCCCACAGATTGACTTGCTTCTAACAAGGCCATATATTGAACTGTTCCCCTCTTAAAGCTGTCTCCTTCGCTAGTGCCATCTTCTCAAAGGTGATTTTAATAAGGTCAATTATCATGTTTTTCTAAAAAACAACCAGGAAAGATCCTATCATGACCTACATTTTTGTTTCCCACAGTCATCGAAGAATTCTAGATCTCACAAGGCATCTCATTTATCCAGAACGTTTGGATAAGAAGTGGATTTGCACATCTCTTAATCTGACACTAAGGCTCATCCCTCCCTGAAGTTCTCCCCTCAAGATTGCCAATGTGACCTCAGAAATTCAACGTCTGTAATTGGAAAACTTCTCAAATCCTTGTTTTATATTTTTGAGGCTTTCTTGTTTTAAATGCAATCATCAGAAGCCCTCTCAAGAGGTGACTGTTTTATTTGCAGGGCGGAGGGTGTTATTTGACACGTCCCAGTAAACCTGGAGTTGGGATAGACCTTACCTTTTCTTCTGCTCCCAGATCAGACACTTGACAACTGCATCCCCGCACCCATTTCTCTCCCTGCAAATATACTCTCTAGTGTCAAAAAATCAAATCAAAATAAGTTTAAATATTTTTAAATATATTTATTATTACCTAAACTATTCAATTTATTGAGGGTATATTAATATAACTTAAAATTGAGGTTAATCTATGCAGATTGAATTTGGTGAATTCCCTTTAGGAAACTAGCTAAAGAAAAAAGTAATGTCAGAGAAGTGTATCTAGATATATTTATTCTTCTCTGATCATTACTTTATATAGAGATATATAGACATATTTACAGATAGATGATAGATAGATAGATAGATATGGAGAGAGGGGAAAAGAAGCATTTTCGTCTCTTCATTTGTTTCCATGAATTCGAGTTTCTATCTAGTTTCATTTCCTTATTCAAATAGTTTTGCTTACATCCACTTCCTTTTTGTTTCTATTGAAAACATATTCGTTTCTATATATTATAGGCCCAACAATAGTTTTATACAATTTCTCTTTAGTTAAAAGAAGGAATGATAAGAATTATGCATTCATACAGTCTTTATAATTACATAATTATCTTAACCAGTGCTTTTCGTGCGTGTGTGTGCTAACTCTAATTACTTTCTGCCATCACTTACTTTTAACTTGAAGAACTTTCTTTAACATGTATTATAATACAAGTTTGCTAGAAGAAAGTTCTCTTATTTTTTGTTTATATCAGAATGTATTAATATAAATTTTTTTATTACAAGATACTTTTGATGTATATACATTTCTTGATATTGGCTTGTTGGGATTTTGTTGTTGTTCCTAGCACCTTGAATAGGTCGTCCCATTCCTTCTGGGTCATTTTTTTCTTTTTTTCTTTTTTTTTGTTTGAGACAGAGTTTTGTTCTGTCGCCAAGGCTAGAGTTCAGTGGAACGATTTCGGCTCACTGCAAGCTCTGCCTCCCGGGTTCACACCATTCTCCTGCCTCAGCCTCCCGAGTAGCTGGGACTACAGGCGCCCGCCACTGTGCCCAGCTAATTTTTTGTATTTTTAGTAGAGACGGGATTTCACCATGTTAGCCAGGATGGTCTCGAACTCCTGACCTCATGATCCGACCGCCTCGGCCTCCCAAACTGCTGGGATTACAGGCGTGAGCCACCCCGCCCGGCCCGGGTCATTTTTTCTAATGAAATTTAGCCATTAATGTTACTAGACATGATGAGTCATTTTTCTGTTGCTGCTTTAAAGATTTTTTGTCTTTGTTTTTCAGCATTTTTACTGTGATACGTCTGTGTCCTCTTTGAGTTTATCCGACTTGGAGTTCACTGAGCTTGAATGTGTAGATTAGTATTTTTCATCAAACTAGGAAAACTTTAACCATTATTTTTTGAATATTTTTTCTGTTCCTTTTTCTCTTCTCTTCTTCGGTTACTCCCATCATCATGTATTAGTGCCCTTAATGAGGTCCTCCAGTTTTCTAAGGCTCTGTTTATTTTTCACATTTTTTAATTCAAATTGTTTAGTCTAAATAAATCTATCTGTAAGTTCATGAATTCTTTCTTTTGCCTATTGAAATCTACTGTTAAGTCCATCTTATGCATTTTTCATTTTAGTTGATCAGAATTTACTTATTATTGCTAACATGGCAGAGCCAAAATAATAAAGATAATATAATAAAAAGAATGTCCTGCTTGATTATCCTGCTTGTATATATTCTATTTTTCCAAGAACATATTTCTCATTAAGTATGTCTGAAAGAAGGATGTCTGTTTGTATTTTTCCACAACACAGACACTGGTCGTTTTGTAGATGGTCCTCTGTAGACTCATAACTTCTTTGTAACATGGATAGCACATATGGAAATGTCTAAATGCAAATGTATGTGACATTGACACATTGTGTGTTTATTGTGTTTATAATCTCTCTCATAAAGAAGTCTATAAACAAAAAGATTAGCAACCACTTTCATAGATGATAAACAGAGCCTGAAGATCAAATTAAATTAGAAGTGAAGAGCAGGAGATGTCTAACCTGTAGCTTCATTGTCTAAATTTGTGTTCTAAAGATACTGAGATGTATTCCTTTGAAGGAAAAATCAGCAGTCTTATCAATCATCTCCTATGTATAATTTTCTTCCATAACCTCCCCTCAAGTAGCTTTCTAATATCATTTATCTTTAGTTTTCAATAAGTTGACCCTGATGTGCATATATGCAGTTTGTTTGTGTTTATCTTTCTGGGCAATTATTGAACTCTTTGGGTCTCTAGTTTAATGCTGTTTATCAAATCAGGAGAAGTTTTTTCATTATCTATACAGATATTTTTTCTGCTTCAGTTTCTCTTCTTTCTGGGACTTCAATTATTTATAGGTTACAAAAGTACACATATTGTTTTACACATGTCACAGAGGTATTGTTCATTTTTCAGTCTATTTCCTTTCTTTATTGTTCTCAATTTAAACAATTTCTATTAATGTATTTTCTAGGTCCATTTTCTTCTGCAGTGTCCAGTCTTCTGTTAAATCCCTGTAGTGATATTTACATCATATATTTTTTATTATATAAGTTCAAATTTTTTCTTTTTCTTAATAATTTCCACTTTTCTGCTGAGATTCTCAATCTTCCCATTACTTACATTCATCTCATAACAAAAGCAATGTTTGTTTTAAGTAATTTTTGTTAATTATAACATGTTCTAATCTGTATATTTCCACCTTGGTTATGACACATTTTCCTGTGTCTTCACGTATCTAGTATGTTTTATTGTACACAGGAATTTGTGCATGCTACAATGTTGAGCAAGTGAATTTCGTGTTGATTTTTGTTCTAGTTGTTAGTTAATTTACTGGCAGATCAGCTTGACCTATTGGTGCTTACATCGGCCTTTTCTAGGGCAGTTCTAGAGTAGCTCTTACAGTATAAACGGAGTAGCTCTATAAGCCTCTAAGGTAGAGCCATTCTTGGGTCTCAAGTGATTCCTAGAGTGTCCAGTGAGGCATCTTCATTCTGGCTGGCTGGTTGTCTCCCAGTTCTGTGCAACCTCTAGACTGCTGTGAAGTATACTTTGTATATCTCACTTATCCCCGGGTCACAGACAAGGGCTGCTACTGTCAAAATCCTGAAAACAGGTGCTTCCTATATTTTCTGTGGTTTTAGATTTGCTCACAGTCAGGAGGATAGTTTGATACCTGTTACTTCATCACAGTTAAATTATTATTACACAGTGATACTTTCAAAACTCAAAGTAAAGTCATAGAAACTATAGATAATTTTATTTGTAGAATTAAAATTAGTATTTCTTACATAATTTTAATGAAGTTAATATTGATTCATATTTAATAAATATGTATTTCTATCCAAAGAACATATATTTCAGATATTACAATATTTCTAAATAAACCTGTCATCTGTTATCTATTCTTAGGAATAGAATCTTGTTTTGAAAGGGGAAAAGCTTAATAAAATGTCAAATAAAGATCAGTTTCAGAGAAACTGAAAATAACAAATATGGCATGCTTAACATGCAATTTATTATTTGATTTTAACCAGCAATTTTTTTCTTCATATCGACAGGAATGCACTATCTCTTTAAAATAGTCAAATTTCTGACTCCGTAACACAATAGTTAATATTAGTTCAACAAAAAATATAGAGTGCTACTTTCTTTTAATTCCCTTGAAACATTTAATGTCTATATCTTTAATTATCAGGTAAAAATAGTTGTTGATTTTCCATATTGCATGAAAGAATTATCTAAAATATACCATAAAAATGTAAATATTTCTGAATAAATTTTACTTAAACCATTTAACTTTTGCATTAAAAAAGTCTTTTAGGAATTAAGATTATTCTGAACTACAATGTCTAAAGAACTAATAGATATTATCTGAACTTTGTAGACTATTACTACTGCCCAGTGCTAGAAACCCGTAAGTAGCTAAATAAGTTATATTAAGAGATACAGGGAATATAAGAAAATATATTGCAGATTAGAACTCCTTTCAGTAGTTTATAATAGATTACTTATATCTATGTTTTCACATTTTTAGCATGCCATTTCTACCTCATTCGGTCAGGCAGTAAACAGTAGCCACCATACATGCATTATTTTTTTTACATACTGTATGTGTCTTAAAGAAAATATAATTACTAGCTCAGGCATACTCACTAAATTTTATTGTTATGGAATATTGTATGAATAATCATAAAATTATTTAAAATATATTCTAGATTCTCAATCACTATGTCTAGTTTAGAGAAAATCCTTTTAAAATTCTAAATGCTTGAACAAGTTCTCCAGGAACAGTTGACTAGAAAGCTACTGAAGTCTTTATTTTATGTTTTATTACTAAATGTCCTGTTAAATAATTTATCATTAGTTACTTTATATCTCCCAGTTTCTTTTCTGTTGAGTTATAGTTTCTTAAATCTTGACAAATAGGAAATCTGTGTGAATAAGTTTACTGGTGAATTCAAATATCTTTGCTCTTATGCTTTTACTGGATCATTTCAATTGGGTGAATATAGTCTTGGCTTTACTTTTATGTTGCTATGGCAACCCTAATTATCATTACTAGTATATGGTATATACGATGGTGAAAATATACTGAGTTATTTAAGAATTATTTTCCCAGTATTTTAATTACCAACTTATTTAAAATTATTTGATATAGTTAAATCACAGCACCTGAGTGTTTTTATTTGAAATTTAAGTTTGAATCAATTATAGAATGTTTGTAGTTTTAAATAAATAACATTTTCATATGTGGTGTCACAATTTAATAGGTGTCAGCAGCAAGTCATAGAATGGAAGCCGGAAGTTTTATTAAATAAAAATGAATCTGTCAAGAGAGGAGAAAAGTAAAGCAGATAAAGGAAAAGAAAAAGAGAGAGAGAGAGAGAGATCTTTGGGATTTAAATTGCTGTAAACCATGGAAAAAGACAGGCAGGACATATTGAAATAATCACTTGATACTTGATTCAGAATTGAAAAAATATAGAAAAGCATAAATACACGTTAAAATTGGATGAGGCTATGGACTTCTACTATTTTAGTGACAAAACCCAGAGACAAGTGTTTAAGAGTGTAGATTTTATTAACGCAGATTTTTTTTTTCTCTCTCTGTAGCCATTATAACTCTTAAAGAATCTGGCCAGGCGCGGTGGCTCACACCTGTAATCTCAGCACTTTGCAAGGCCAAGGTGGGTGAACAACCTGAGGTCAGGAGTTCAAGACCAGCCTAACTAACATGGTGAAACCCTCGTCTCTACTAAAAATACAAAAATTAGCGGGGTGTGGTGGCGCATGCCTCTAATCCCAGCTACTTGGGAGGCTGAGGCAGGAGAATTGCTTGAACCCGAGAGGCAGAGGTTACAGTGAGCCGAGGTCGCGCCACTGCACTCCAGCTTGGGCAACAAGAGCGAAACTCCATCTCAACAAATAATAATAATAATAATAATCTAATAATCTAATTAGGGACAGTAAGTCAGTAAGTCCACTGATGAAAAGGTGTCTAACTTCAGTACTTCCGGTCCTAGACAAAGTGATGTAAACTCGCTCTTTCCTTATTCTCACCTCTAAATACAACAAAATACTTTGGAAATAATATAACAAACAATCATAAAGGGGCTCTGAAAAGTTGAAAGAAGAGAAAAGACTGGCTAAGGTCCTCAGGACTTGAAGAAATATGTCTCAGTGAATTCCGTAGGTTTTGTTTTCATTTGTTGTCTATCCCAGTCTGGGCACTGGACAGGCCTGCAACCCAGAACTGCTAACAGGCATAGCAAATACACATACACATACACCTGCCCCCCACCCACCCACCCACACACACCACACAAGAAAAGCCTGCTCTCTGGCCAAGTATCTAAAAAAAAAAGTAAGCTCTACCTAGATCTGGCAGAGAGACCCATCCACTAATCCATACTGAGTGCCAGCAACAGCACCAGTGAGTGGGGCCGACTGACTCATCTACCACCCAGAACACATCTGGTAACAGCAGACCTGGTCTGATTGTACTTCAGCTCCAACAGATCCAGGATCTCCTGGTTTTCCTTCACCCTGCAGCAGAAGGTAGACTAGGGTCAGGAACTCCTGATCTCATCTATTTGCAGAAGGCTGTCCAGGTAGGTGCTTCCTTTCCCCAACAGCACCAGCAAAGATATCCTGGAAGCTTGTGGCACCAGGTGTGGGATGAACAGGCCAGAGGAAACATTCTCAATCCAGTATCCCCTGCTACCTAACTAGCAACATGGGCATGTCCCAGGGAAGTGCCTTTCGCCTCAACAGCTGGCATCTGCGGAGTACAAAGGATGCCTTCCTGGATCCAGAAGGATAAAGAAGACCAGAACAGCAGTGCAAGGGTTAAGCAAGCTGAGAATCACTAGATCTACTCTGGGGGTTGGGAGTGGGCTGGGCTGGGCAGGGAAAGGGGAAATGTTGGTCGAATGTACAAAGATTCAGTGAGAGAGGAGGAAACATTTTGGAGATCTATTGCACACCATAGTGATTCTAGTTAATATATTGCATATTTCAATATTGCTAAAGGGGTAGATTCCAAATGTTCTTACCATAAAGAAATGATAAATATGTGAGATATTGCATATGTTAATTAGCTTGATGTACTCATTCCACAATGTATTCATGTATCATAACATCACATTGTACTCCATAAATACATAAAATTGTTATTTATTAACTAAAAGAAAAGAAAAAAAATGTAGTTCAGATCTACATGTTAAACCTAAATAGGAAAATGCCTGATGAAATAGAAGATTTAAATAGGATCAAAAATTTCCTAAATCAATATCCAAAACAAAAACAATTTAAAAAATCACTTGTCATACCAAGAACCAAAAAAAATTCCTGGCAATCAAGTGATCTGAAGTCCCAGATAAGTCCAGATACTGGAACTTTCAGAGATTTTAAAGCAGCCATCATGCCGGGAGTGGTGGCTCATGCCTGTAATCCGAACACTCTGGGAGACCAAGGTGGGTGGATCACCTGAGGTCGGGAGTTTGAGACCAGCCTGACCAATATGGTGAAACCCGGTCTCTACTAAAAATACAAAAAAATTAGCCGGGCATGGTGGTGGGTACCTGTAATCTCAGCTACTTTTGGGAGGCTGAGGCAGGAGAATCGCTTGAACCCAGCAGGCGGAGGTTGCAGTGAGCCGAGATTGTGCCATTGCTTTCCAGCCTGGGCGACAGAGCAAGACTCCACCTAAATAATAATAATAAATAAAGCAGCCGTCATAATATTTCAACAAAGGAGTTAATTTCAGTTTTGCTTAGCAGGTCTCTTATATAAAGTTAATTTTCTGTTTTAACAATTATACACAAATTGGAGTTTCTCAGAAACCTTAGCTCCTATCCCCTCTTTGTATTGAACTCACTGAAATTCTCATTCACAAATCACTTTCCTTTGAGACTGGGTAATGGATAGAAAGCCTTCTTATCTAGTAAACATTAATTTCAAATACCAAACCAGGCCATTTGATTTTAATTTTCAAAATTCTCAAATCTGGCAACACCTAAATTATCTAATGGCATTTTAGTATAATAAAAATGCCTAGATCTACTCCAAATGAATCTAGAAGTGTGGTTCAATATCTGTTTTCTTTTTTTTTTATTATTATACTTTAAGTTCTAAGGTACATGTGCACAATGTGCAGGTTTCATAAATAGGTATTCATGTGCCATGTTGGCGTGCTGCACCAATTAACTCATCATTTACATTAAGTATATATCCTAATGCTATCCCTCCCCCCCTCCCCACCCCACGACAGGCCCCAGTGTGTGATGTTCCCCTTCCTGTGTCCAGATGTTCTCATTGTTCAATTCCCACCTATGAGTGAGAACATGCGGTGTTTGGTTTTTTGTCTTGTGTTAGTTTGCTGAGAATGATGGTTTCCAGCTTCATCCATGTCCCTACAAAGGACATGAACTCATCCTTTTTTATGGCTGCATAGTACTCCATGGTGTGTATGTGCCACATTTTCTTAATCCAGTCTATCATTGATGGACATTTGCGTTGGTTCCAAGTCTTTGCTATTGTGAATAGTGCTACAAAAACATACGTGTGCATGTGTCTTTATAGCAGCATGATTTATATTCCTTTGGATACATACTCAGTAATGGGATGGCTGGTTCAAATGGTATTTCTAGTCCTAGATCCTTGAGGAATCGCCACACTGTCTTCCACAATGGTTGGACTAGTTTAAAGTCCCACCAACAGTGTAAAAGTGTTCCTATTTCTCCACATTCTCTCCAGCACCTGTCGTTTCCTGACTTTTTAATGATCGCCATTCTAACTGGTGTGAGATGGTATCTCATTGTGGTTTTGATTTGCATTTATCTGATGGCCAGTGATGATGAGCATTTTTTCATGTGTCTTTTGGCTGCATAAATGTCTTCTTTTGAGAAGTGTCTGTTCATCTCCTTTGCGCACTTCTTGATGGGGTTGTTTGTTTCTTTCTTGTGAATTTGTTTGAGTTCTTTGTAGATTCTGGATATTAGCCCCTTGTCAGATGAGTAGATTGCAAAAGTTTTCTCCCATTCTGTAGGTTGCCTATTCACTCTGATGGTAGTTTCTTTTGATGTGCAGAAGCTCTTGAGTTTAATTAGATCCCATTTGTCAATTTTGACTTTTGTTGCCATTGCTTTTGGTGTTTTAGAAATGAAGTCCTTGTGATTATAATGTTCAGCTATGACAATAAATAAATAAATTAGTACTAAATCAGCACTGAAATGGAAAAAATATCCAGTTCAGTTTAGTTCCTGAAACATAGAAAATCTAAAGAATTAAACAGAATATTCAGAAATTTAATATTTACAGTGTAAACCATACCTTAAAGGTAAGAATATTTTAGCATAGGGCTTTTCATTTGCTTGCCAAAGGAGTAAAATGTAAGTCTTCTGGGTCCCCAAACCAGAATCTTTTTAAATAATCATATTCTTCTCTGATTACTATTGGCAATACCTACCTTCATAGGAAAACTTCCTTAGGCATCTCACTGCCATAATAATTTTTTAGTGCAATAATTTTAAATAAAGTATATGAATTAAAATATAAAAATGATTCCCAATATAATCCCTCTTATCACGTGAAGAGTTGTTTTAGGAAAACAAAAAGTGAAAGAGCAGGAAAGACAATACCTGTCACTTTACACATCTCTTTACCATTGTCTCCAGGGTAGGAAAGCCTGCCAATGGCTGGAGCACAGCAAAAAACACTTCAAAGTTATTTTTAATGGTCTTTTTAAAAAAATTAACTTAAAAGGTTTTGAAGTAAAACCCATACATATTTAACTTTATCTGAGAAATAAGCTATTTACTATCTTATTATTCTTTATATATTATTTTTGGAATTTGAAATAAAGTCTATTGATATCGAAGGTTATGTAGTCATTTAGAGGAGAGAAGCTGGGTTGTGGTAGAGGTTGGCTTTTGCCTTTTATTTATTACATTCATTTCTGTAATTCCTTATTTTATAAATGTTTCATTATTTTTATCCTTCTTTGGGAAAAAATAAGAATCAGCTACTTCATTAAAAAGAAAAGCTTAAAATGTTAACCAGAGTTTCACTAATTATAAGAGTTTTTTAGGTATAAACACGTCGTGTTTCTCTAAATAGCAGCTTTCCTATGAGGGACATGATTTAATTCTTTTCATCTGGAACTTTCTATTTAGATAATGCTATTATATAGAAAAGTTACTTTTTATGTAGAACACATTAATATAATGTATTTAACTCTAATGTTAGGGGTAATATTTTAGAAATTATTTTATTCTACATTCAAGTTATGTAATACCTTCTGAAAAAAATCCCAGCAAGTATTGTCCTTTTCAGGATTTATGATTTTTTATTTTTATTTTTTCTTTATTTTTCACCTACAGAATAGTCTAAGACTGATAGCAAAATGTTAAGTAATAGACATAGTGAACAGTGAGAACTTGTTCATCTTTTTGACATTAATGGAAAACTTTATCTCTGTAATATTTGTGGATTTATTACATTCCTAGGAATACAAATCTATTTCTTCTATTTTTAGGTTTCTAAGTCTTTATTCAGTAATAGATTTTGAAACTGAATCAAAGTTTTTGTCATCTACTGAGAATAATATGTGGAGTTGAAATAATGAATTGCCTTAAAAAACTAAGTGCTTAGCTGGGTACGATTTTCTGGAACATTATGGAGATTTTTCCACCTCTATTCATAAGGGAGATGGAAGATGCCAGTCATGTATTTTTCTTTTACTTCTTTCAGTGTTGTACTAACTTTTTTATAAGAGTTTGAGGAGTATCTTCTCTTTGACTGTACTCCAAAACAATGTTTATAATAACAGATGGATCCAGTGAATTTTAAAAGGGATGTAGCTTTGAATAACTTTTAATCCTGTGATGATATTTTATACAATTCAAATTTTCTGTTACTTCACAAATCGATTTTAGCAAATTATATTTTCTTGAAGAATCATCAAATTTATCATGTGTTTCAGTTGCATTGTTGTGTGTATGTGTGTGTACAACACTACTAAATCTACTGAGTATATGCAAATTTTATAATTCCAAAATTATGCATTCCTTACTTGGAGCTTCATTAGACTTGTCTAAGGTTCATAATGCTTTTTGTATTTTCGAGGAAACAATTTTTCATTTTAGTGATCAAGTTTGATATTTTTCTATTTCTTTCCCATTGCATTAATTACTCATATCTTTAATTATTTTATCAGTAGTGTAGGTGAGTACCTCAATATAATCATCTACTCTTTTTTATAATTTATAAATAAGTAAAATTTTTAAGAAATTAAAAAATAATTGGTGGAACTATGATATCTATTTTACAAATATATTAAAATATAAGGACTGTGGCAATATTAATATTAACCTTTAAGAAGAAAGTTGAATTCTAATAAATTATTTTAATTTTTAAATGTACATATTTATTTCAAATGATGGCATTGTTTATATGACATATTGTTGGTACCTAGTTTAGTATATATTAAATGTACATTATATTTTTATTTATCTATCTTCCTGGCCCCTTCATTCGATGTGTGTTTGTTTTCTATTATGTAGCTGTGAAAACTCTTCAACTATTTTTGTGTAGTAATCTTGCTAACTCAGTAGAAAAAAAATTTCAATAATGAAAGAAAATTTTAAATGTGCTTTTGTTAGGTAATTTTGTTTCAAATTGAAATGATCAGTTATTCAAGGGTAGCTGCTAAATATTATTAATGATAGTAGGAATTGCACCTTAAGAATTTATATTGACTAAAATCCTTCCCCAGGCATTGCCACAAAAGTGTATGTACTTATGCCATCCTGAAAACGTAAGAGAGGAAAAGAAGAGCTTATTTAAAGATTGGGAGATTAGAGAAAATGGAATAATAATGAAGTAGAGTATTCAGGTAAAAGATGGTAAATTAAAAAACTGAGTTCTTCATATAATAGGTAAAAAGGATCAATGGATAGAAAGGATTTTAGCAAATAAAAAAGTGAGAAATCAAAGCTTGAAATAAAGAAATAATAATGTCATCTAGTTTAGAAGGGAATTCATGTTGAGGCACGATAAAAAAAATTAACATTCAAAATACACTTTTAGAAGAAAAGAAAGTTTAATACTTTGTATAATTTAAAACTAGAAAAATATTTGAATACATCAGGAGAATCTATTTGAAACTCAATTTCTCATCTAATCATAAAGTGGAAAATGTTACTTTGTTTGAAATGTTCTTCACTTGGTGTATCAAGATATTATAAGAAGCTAAAAGCAAAAATATTTAAGGGATTATGGTAACGACATTTGAAATAGCATGGAGAAATGATAGGATTATCATGAATAAAAAATGTCATGAACTGTACTTGGAATTCTATTTCCTATTTTATGTGAGTGTTTTATAATAGCAAAGTATACTTTAAATGGAATATTTGGGGGACTGCATTTGATTGGAATCGTTACAGAAAATTGTTTGACAGATCCTGTTTTTGAATACTGATTCTTTCCATTTTCAGTTATACTTATGCATATATTTTTGCTTCAAATCTATTCTTTTGCTGTCAGCCAAGCAATTCTTATTGTATATTATAGCAGTCCCAAATGATTGAGATGAAAATCAAATGTGTTACATAAAAACATAAAGGAACTAAATCAATTAGGGCATGCCCATGTTTGTGATTCAAGTTAAAGAAACTAGACCGAGATTTTAAAATAAAATAAAACAGTTCATTTTACTGTTTGTTTTGTGTATGCATGAGGTATAGATATCCAATAATTTTTAAACAAATGTGGGATTGATGATGTAATGTATTTTTCATTGACATATGTCTTTATGTTTTACATAATATTTTCTAAAACCCTTTAGAAATTAACTCTTCAGAAAACTACTCAGTATGAATTTATTTTTGACTTGTGGTGAGGTATTATTTACAAATGAATCTTTATTATTATTATTATTATTATTATTAATGTTCACAGCTTTTGAATGGTGAAGAAAGGGACTCTCACTTTTTGGGAGAACAAGCCATCTAAAATAGGAATTTGTATCTGTAAGCCAAATTAGCAGTGAATAATATCATGAAGTTATCATGTGTTAGTTTGAAACATTAAAAATGTGAGCCAAGAAATGTAAGCCAAGACTTGCTTTATACATAAAGCATGACTTGAGGGGGATGGAGAGGAGTTGGTTAATGGACATGAAAATACAGTAAGATGGAAGGAATAAGCCCTAGTATTCGATAGTACAGTACAGAAATTATAATTAACAGTATATTTTACATTTCAAAATACCTAGAGAAGAATTGTAATGTTCTTTTCCATAGCAAGGAAAAGATAAATGTTTAAGGTGATGGATATCCAAATGTTTCTGCTTTGAACATTTCACATTGTATAAATGTATGAAAACATAAAATGTACACCAATATATGTACGACTATGTTATATCAATACAAAATACAAAAAAAGTGTTTTATTTTCTGAAAATCAAGATTTTTAGAATAAACGAAGCTTTAAAATACCTATTTAAAGGTATATCTTTATTAGGGAAGGAACTACAAGCAATATTAATGTAGGAAGGCTGGCTAAGACATGCAAAAATATATAATACATACATTTTCTTTGAATGTTTTGAAATTGAGGTAACTTCAATGCCAGACCCAAGCATGCATATGGGGAAAACCCAAATAAATAAAACATCACTTGCTTTCACAGCTCTCACTGTCTAACAATGCTCGCAGATGTGTAAGCCAATATGTTCCATGTTGAAGAATCCTTTAGAGGATTTAAAGAATAAGAGACAAACTTTGACCAGAAGCCTAAAAATATAAAAACAAGGAATGAAACAAGAAAGAGGCATCTCAGATCTAGGTATAGATTTTGATAAAAGAGCATCTTAAGGATAGAAAATGAAACAAGAATGGGTCACTATAGAGATTTATTTTAGCTACCACCTTTCAAGTTTTTTTTTCCACAAAAGCATAGTGGGTAGAAATTTAAGAATCAAAACCTGAATTTCTCTTACTTAATATAAATATTCATATAAATACTATTATGTGTTCTCTGCATTCAAGAATACTTCTAGGTAATAAGGATACTTCTGGTTATATAAAGGTGATGAAACATGCTTGCAACCAATATTTTGATTTTCAGATCAAATACGAGTAAGAACTTAGAGAATTCTGCTTAAATAAATATTTCTGCCTGAATGTGGTACACTATACATTGCATTCTAAACCAAAAATGGTTATTTGAAGTGGTACTACTAAAATACATCATGGAAAAAAATTATATATTTTGTCACTGTCTAATTTTCTGTATTTTGGCAACCTGAATAAAGCCTGATTTTATATTCTGAGGTATTATCAAGGAAAATATTTTATCTAGTCAGTGGAGAATCAGTTTAGTTTTCTTATGTAATTCTGACAAAAGAAGAGTTGTGTATCTTTATTACCATTTAAGTACTTACTCAGTAGCAAAGCTTTTAATTCATTGGACTATGTTGTTCTTGATATAGTCTTTTTGATGGCATATTTGTATTCTTAGAATGTGTATTTTGATATTGTGTAAAAGTTACTACTGATACAAATAATTGTTTAATAGTTTTAGTAAATCATTTGATAAGCTATTACTTTAGTAATGTGTCCAAATACTTTGAACTTCATTGGAATTTGGTTGAAATACAAGTGGAAAATTAATAAATTAGAATTATTTATAAGAATAAGGAATGGTGAAATCTCACAAGTGACCAATCAAATAATTTGGAGGGCTGGAAATGTTCTTTGTCTTGTTCGAGAAGACTGCAGGCTTTCTTTCTCATTTAACACATTAAAAATAAATTTTTTCAAGGATATTGAAAGTTACACCAAAAAGATTGTGTCATATATTTTTGTTTTGTTTCTTGTATTTTTTTTTTTCCTTATTTCTGCAGTTGGGGTGGATTTGGGTGAGAACAAATCAGGATAGGCCTTAGAAGAGAGAATAATCAAGGTGTCATCGAAGTCTAACAACAATAACAACAAAAACACAGGCCCATTATGGCAATCCAACAGCAGAATGGGAGGATAAAATAATCAGAACTAGAGGTAAGCCAAGATCCAGATCCACAGGTTTTGACAAAGAAGCAAATGCTGTGAGACGTGAGACCATGCACAGCAGGTTGGGCAATATTCTTATACAATGTGACCCTTCTGAGAGGCTAGCACCCTGCAAACCTTAGATCTGCTGTGAGAATCCTAAAAGGGTGATACACATAACCCAACACATGATAATTTTGAGGATAGTCACCATTACATTCACTTAAGTTATAGATATAGCCCACAACTTAAATTTTATTTATCTGCTTTTTGTAAGTTTGATATATAAATTTAATTCATTATTAGGAAGAATCTAGATGTGTACCTCACAATAGACTGAACTTGAAAAATGGTGATCTTGAAGAAAAGTACCCAGAATATTGAACAAATTACACCATTAACGGGTATCGATATTATTACAAGTTTATTATCTACTTTCTTAACAGGGACATCAGCTCTAATCCTGGTTATTACCAGTTAGCTGATGCTTTACATCCCACACTGCCTAACTCAAAATAAGGCCCATGTATTTGCCATAAACAGTAAACATTGTCTCTTTTACATAGAAGATAGTCTTTCACAGAGAAGCTAGAATTGATTGTCTTTCAATTTATGTTCTCTACCACCTATATATTTGTTCGATTTACCCCACCACTAACTACTTCCTTTTCTTCATGATGGGAAAAATATTTATACCCTGTCCCAAACAAACAAACAGAAAAACCCTTCAGTAAATTATAAGTCCCACTTACACTTTTTTGTTTTTAATTTGAAAACTTTGATAATAGTCCATTTTACTTTCTAATGTCTGCAACTTTATCTGTCTATCTATCTATCATCTATCTATCTATCTATCTCTGTCTGCCTGTCTATCTAGTGTTTGGAGAGATTTTGTGACAATTTAGCAAGAGGTATGAGAATCCCTACTAGGGAATAAATACATATTTTGGAAATATATTTTAGTAAATCTTATTGTGGTAAAACATGGGATGAAGAAACTGGGCATTGGCCAACCTTAAGGCTTAGAGACAAATAAAGATTTGCAAATACATGTAAAGTACTAAGCATGAAGGGAGAGAGATAAGTAAATAAATTCCAAGAAAAATTAGGTCAAAGAGAGAATCAACATGCCATCTCCTCCCTCCTGCCTTCCTGGTTATTTGACCCACATGTAGTAGGGTAAAATTATGATTTAATGTTAAATCAAGTTACTGAAGAGTAGAAGGAGATTCGCTTTTACTCTTTTTTTTCAAAAACTGTAGTAAATTAAGACTATTCTAGCAAACCAAGCAATAACTTAACCGTAACCAGGGAACAATGGAAGAAGATGAAAGGCTAACAGGGCATTTTAAGTTATTTATTATGGACACAGGTTGTTTGTATTCTCCTACATATATTATACGAAACAGTCTGTGAAATTCAAATTGATTACTAATGCTTTGTGGGAGTGTTTTTTCATAAAGTACAAGAGATTCTGTGTGTCATCATTTTGTAGATAAGGAACTAAAACAGAAACTGCGTCCACATGTATTAAGGTTAAAAGAAGAGATTACAACAGGTTCTTATTAATATTCAAGATTATCCCATTAACAACAACAAAATAGCAGAAACAATATGCGTGTGTTTGCATATATGTGTAAGCACGTAAACAGTTACCTACATACACACTTATATGTACTTCCTTTACTCCATTTCTCCTTCCATTGCCACAATGCCACATTACTCTACTTCATATTTAAGATTTTTGGGCAGGGTGCAGTAGCTCAGGCCTGTAATCCCAGCACTTTGGGAAGTTGAGGCGGCTGATCGCGAGGTCAGGAGATCAAGACCTTCCTGGCTAACACAGTGAAACCCCATCTCTACTAAAAACACAAAAAATTAGCCGGGCGTGGTGGCGGGTGCCTGTAGTCCCAGCTACTTGGGAGGCTGAGGCAGGAGAATGGCGTGAACCCGGGAGGCGGAGCTTGCAGTGAGCCGAGATCGCGCCACTGCACTCCAGCCTGGGCGACAGAACGAGACTCCGTCTCAAAAAAAAAAAAAGAAAAAAAAAAGATTTTGAAAATATTTTAGCTGTCCTTATTGTATTGTTTTTCTGTTTCTCTTTATCGAGGATTTGTGTTATGCTCTTTTGTAACCTTGCCAAACCTGCAGAGAATCTGCCGCTCACTTTCCTATTAACAGAATAGTGAAATGTTTTCAATTGGTGGGAAAAAGATCCTGATTTCAAGAAAGAATATCCTATTGTTTCTTTGTGATGGCAGTCATATGCTTACGAAATAATAGGGGATATTCTCCTGGGAATTTATAGAGAAGTCATTCTCCCTTACAAAAGGGGCATGCTTGAGCGAAGTGTACACACTTGCCACCATGTTTCCCTCCTGTCATAAATGTGACAAGAGTAATATAGCTGAAGCAGCCATCTTGTGACCACAAGCAACGGACTAGTAGGGGAAGAGTCGACACACTGAAGAGAAGAAAGCAAGTGGGTAGATTTTGAGTTACTGATGATGCTGTTGTTGACCTGCTAATCCAACCCTGAAACTACCAGTTTCCAAATGACGTTAACAAACTCTGAAAAAAAAATCAGATGTAAAATATGACTCAAATGCATATGTTTTAGTGTCAGGTTCTAATGTGTTGAATTTAGGTAAGCAAACCATCCAGAAATAATCAGAAGAAAAATAGAAAGCATATCCGAAGCAAAAGTGAAGATGTGTTTACCAACACAGAGGGTGAAACTGTGGCTAAATATCACAGACTAAATTAGGAAGTACAGGGAAACTATTGCATTCACACAGAATGCTAGCAGGTAGGGTACAGTGTTTTGTGTGTGTAGAAGAACCGCTTACCCTGAATTTGCATATCACCAAATTAATTTTCAACATACCATTAACCTATTTATTTATTTGCATATTTTGACAATCCTTTTTACGGTTGCTAAAAATTATTGTTTTCAATTTCTTAATTTAATATGGTACAAGGTTATTTTCCCATAGATATGATTTTTTTCCAAAATATATTTATGGAAATATAGTAGATTTTTATCTATCTCTATTTTTCTTCCCTATCATTTTAAGCAGTATTTCTTCAGAGATTGGTTCCCTTGTTTGTTTGTTTATTTGTTTTGAGGATTTTGTTTGAGTTTGGTGCCTAAAGTCTGATGAATTTAGACTACTTCTTTGTATTTATAAACTAATTTCAATACTGTTCAATATCTGTTGGTTTAATTGGTTTCTCCAAACATGTAAAATCACTTTTCCTCCACAATAAATATAAATGATGACCATAGGATTCCTGGTCACATTGATTCACAGCTAAGCTCTATGTTTTTCTATCTATAAAGAGTTTGCCTTCAGCGTTTAGAAAATCACTGTCCGCCGTGGTATTTCATGACATCTTACTTGGCATTGCTCTACATTTTTCTCTTACGAAAATATGCCCATACTGGAATCTCCCTACAGCAAAATGACCCGAGTTTTTTTTGTTCGTTCGTTTTTTTGAGACGGAGTCTTGCTGTCGCCCAGGCTGGAGTGCAGTGGTGCGATCTCGGCTCACTGCAAGCTCCACCTCCCGGGTTCAGGGCATTCTCCTGCCTCAGCCTCCCGAGTAGCTGGGACTACAGGCGCCCCCCACCACTTCTGGCTAATTTATTGTATTTTTAGTAGACATGGGGTTTCACCGTGTTAGCCAGGATGGTCTCGATCTCCTGACCTCGTGATCCACCCACCTCGGGCTCCCAAAGTGCTGGGATTACAAGTGTGAGCCACCGCGCCCGGCCGCCCCCAAAACTTTTTTAGCTAAAGCTGTTTTTTCTCTTTAATAGTTTTATTCTAGGGGAAAATGTTGCAGCCATTCAAACTACCACCTAAGGATGGGTGATTATTTGATATTTCTATTACTAATCATTTCTCTAATTTCAACTAACTGACCCTTAACTACAACTCTTCCTATTTCTGATCTTAGGAAAATGTTTTCTGTGTTTCTGATAAAAATACACTTTTAGATGTTTACTAATTTACCTATACTGATTTCTGATTCCCTCAGCCCTGTTATGTCTTCCCATTAATCAAATGTCATCTACTTTATAACTTTCAGAAATATTTTAATGTTCCTATTCTGTTGTGACATACCTCTTAGTAGGCCTCGTCATCCTGCCATGAAATTATTTGTTTGTTATATATTCTGTCATTTCAATAAAATTTCATCAGAGAAGAAAGGCATCATGGACTGCACATTTGCGTCTCTCCCTTCCAACTTAGTATGTTGAAACTGTAACCCCTAAATGATGGTATTTGGATATGAGTGGGAGATAATTTTGTCTCATTCACCTATCCAAAAATCCCTACCCTATGGGAGTGTGATACACTCAGCTTTTGCTATGTACCTCCCTCTTTAAATGATCTTGGCATTAAGCCTATTAAAATTGCACAATTTGAAATTCCAGTGTTTTTTTCTAGAAAGAAGAAAGAGAAAAGTGGATTCTCAACTAGAAGCAAAAACATCCACTGAAGTTTGTGAGAGTGCAATAGGCAGGTTAGTGGAAAGCTGCTGCCCCAATCTAGCTACAACCTCTACTAATGGTTTTCTTGAGATTGTAATGAAGGAGGCTAGAAGAGGAGGCTATATTTGTGAAATATTTTGTGTGCAAATCAGCAGGACATGAAGGCTTAATAGATATGGTTAGTAAAGACACAGTTCCATCCTGAAAGCGTTACCATTTATGGAGATGGAGAACGCGGGGGAAGAATAGATTTCAGGAGAAACTCAGATAATTGGGGTGTTAGAAAATCTTCTGTTATTGTAGAAATTTTTTAATTATATTTTAAGTTTTGGGATACATGTGCAGAACGTGCAGTTTTGTTACATAGGTATGTACATGCCATGGTGGTTTGCTGCACCCATCAACCCATCACCTACATTAGGTATTTCTCCTCATGTTATCCCTCCCATAACCCCCCAAGCCCCCTGACAGGCACCGGTGTGTGATGTTTCCCTCCTTATGTTCATGTGTTCTCATTGTTCAACTCCCACTTATGAGTGAGAACATGCGGTGTTTGGTTTTCTGTTCTTGTGATAGTTTGCTGAAAATGATGGTTTCCAGCTTCATCCATGTCCCTGCAAAGGACATGGACTCATCCCTTTTTATGGCTGCATAGTATTCCATGGTGTATATGTGTCACATTTTCTTTATCTAGTCTAACATTGATTGGGCATTCAGGTTGGTTCGAAGTCATTGCTATTGAGAATAGTGCTGCAATAAATATAGGTGTGCATGTGTCTTTATAGTAGAATCATTTATAATTTTTTGGGTGTATACCCAGTAATGAGATTGCTGGGTCAAATGGTATTTCTAGTTCTAGATCCTTGAGAAATCACCGGACTGTCTTCCACAATGGTTGAACTAATTTACACTCCCACCTACAGTGTAAAAGCATTCCTATTTCTCCACATCCTCTCCAGCATCTATTCTTTTCTGACTTTTTAATGATCGCCATTCTAATTGGCATGAGATGGTATCTCATTGTGGTTTTGATTTGCATTTCTCTAATGACCAGTGATGACGAGCATTTTTTTCGTATGTCTGTTGGCTGCATAAATGTCTTCCTTTGAGAAGTGTCTGTTCATATCCTTTGCCCACTTTTTGATGGATATGTTTTTTCTTGTAAATTTGTTTAAGAAAATCTTATAATGTACATAGGTGGGATAGTTAATGAGAAAGTAGAATATCTGATCCTGAAGTTTCCAGAAGAGGTGTCCAGGAGAGCTGGATATTCAGGGGTCATCAAAAATGGTTTTGAAGCCACAAAATATTAATATCAATCAGGGGAGTGTTTGAAGAGGGAAGAGAATGGAGAACGTTACAGATTTTGAAGATGTCTGTCATTAGTGAGACAGGGGAAGGGGATTATCTGACAGAGTGGAATTAAGGAAAATACCCACAAGGAAAAGAGGAAGGCAAAAGCTGGGTCATGGAAACCAGGAGAAAATGGGGCATAATAAAAAGGAGAATTGTCTATTATATGAAAATCCGCAGAGAGGTCAAGTAAGATTTTTTAAAAATAATGACATCATTAGTGGTTTGGGAATGCAAAGTTCAAGTTACAAATTATACTGAACTTATATTTAAAATATCAATCTCCAAGAATTTTATTTATGAAACAGAATAATGGAGAAATTGGGACAAAACTTGACAGGTTGTGGGGACAAGGGGATGACTGAGTTTTGCGTTCATTGTGTGATAAAAGAGTGTAAAGGCAATTTATATGATAATTCAGCAGAATGTGACAAATGTACAGATACCGTCTATTGTACAGACAGTTGGCTTTTTATTCCTTAAATGTACAGTGTCTGAGAGAGTTAAGTGCCACCAAGTAATAAGGCCAGGCCATGAAATATCCTGTCCAGAGACCACTAACAGCAAATGAATTACATACCAGTATGAGCTTCTTGGCACAAAACCTACTGAAGGACCCTGTTGAAATGCAAATTCCCTTATTATGTTGAATCACATCAAACTTCATAAATAGTATAATGCACATAAATCCATGAAAACTGTTTGTGTTGAGAAAATAAAGTGAATTAATATGAGAGTATGCATACATTAGATAATGCCATAAAGCAGCTTTATAAAATAGTGCATTTTATTTGCCATTTACTGTTTGCATTTACCTAGTTTTTTTTAAAAAAATAATCTCTTCTAGGGACATGAAATGGCAGATATTCAAAGGTGAATATTTATATCTGATTGTAAATGTGAACAGGATAGAGACAAGTAGATTTATTAAATAAGCAAAACCTAATGAAATGTTTATTGTTGTATTCAGTACACTAGTATTCAAAAATTTTCATTAAGAATCACTTTATTTTTAAACTTTTAAAGCAATCAAAATTTTATGGAAATATTATTTTAAATGTCTGTAGAATATAAATAGCTGAAGTTGTGTAATTAAACTGGTAAATTATAAACAAATTGTCAACTACAAAACAAATTCCTTCCTACCAACTTTTTCTCTCATATCTGTGAAAGAATCCAACGTAGAATTGTTTTGCATAAACGACTTTAATATCAGTTAAAGTCAATACCCTTTAGCCAAAGACAACAAGGAACACGCCTATCGTAGAATAACCTGAGTATATTTATTATTGCATTGAGAGAGAATACCCACTCTAGACAACTATGGAGCAGAGCAGTAGGTGGGTATTAGAATAAACCTGTTATAGGATGTGGGGCAATGTTAGGTGATTGTGGGGAGAGTTTAATGGAGTAAAGCTTTACTCTAGATTGAATGTTATCAGAGAGTAGTTCTATAATTGTCTTATTTAGAAGGAGGGAAGACTTATTTTAATGTCTTATTTAGAAGGAGGGAAGACTGAGTCATGTCACAGCTGTAATTGGTAAAGAAACAACAACCATTTATATTAGCAGGGAGAAGGGGATGTTTGATGTTTTGTGGCTTGAACAATGGTCATGTTTGGTCTGTGATTATGGTATAGCACTGTTTTTACCCTTCTCCATTATGGTCAGTGTGGCCTTATCTGGTGTTATGATTATGGTCAACAAAAGAACACCAAAATCTAGCTGTGAGTGCCAGACCATCTCATAGTAATGCCAAGGCCTAGTTTATACTACCAGGCCAGCTAGTGGGTATCATGGGCTGATTTTCTCTTTCGTGCAAATGATGCAGTGTGCACTAGTCACGAGTACCCTTTCTCCTCTACAAATCTCATGAAATGACAACAGATTATATAGGTTGAAAATGATCAAATCCATCACAACCAATGGCAGCAAAGGTTGCCATTAAAGTAAAAAATGTAAGGGAGCACCTGCGATCAGTACAATTCAGCAATAGAAAGTCTAAAAGTCACTGAAATTAAATGGAGAAACACAATTTTCTTTTAAAGGCAGTGTCAGAGTTACTGGGAACATTATCAGGAAAATTAAAGAATAGCATGTGAGGTAAATTGACAAGCTAATGCTAATATTTTTGAAAATACAAAAGAATAAGAACAACTGAAGCAATCTTGAAAAAGAAAAAAATCCAGAGAAAATATGTTTCTATATGGTAGTAATTGGTATAAAACTATAATAACATAAACAACATGGCATTGAAGCAGGGCCCAAAATTAGAAAACTGTCACAGAATAAATTTCAGCAGTAGTCCCACCAGTTTACATGTTGCACTGTAATACAATGCAGACAGGATGGTTGTTTCCTAAATGTCACTGAATCAACTGGATAACTAAACAGAAATATATATATATATATGCACACACACACTACACATACACATATATATGCACACAAACACACACACACATATATGCATATATGCACCTGGACTTAACTTGTTGAGACATTAGAGTTTAATAAAATTATTAACTCTTTATAGATTGCTGGTTGGAATTTAAATTTTTGCAACCACATTTGTAACTGTTTAGAAGTATCTAAAGAAGCTAAACATATGATTTCTCTGTAAACCAGCCATTCTACTTTTAGGTATAACCTTGAAAGAAATACATACATATTTCTAAAAACACAAGTAAAACAATGTTCTTAGGAGTTCCTTTTGTAATAGGTAAAATCTCAAACAACCTAACTGTGCATCTTCCTTAGAATAGATAAGCAAACTGTCATATATTCATACAGTGAATGTGGTGGAATGTGATTCCTGACTCTCACACCCTGTGTAATTGCCTCTCTCCAGTATGGACTGTACCCAATCACTCACTTCTAACTAATAAAATATACAAAAAGTTCAATGATTTCACTTTTAAGGTTAAGTAATGAAGAGACTGTAGCGTCGGTCCTGGCTATTCTCTTTCACGCCCTTGCTGGCTCTGAGGGAAGCCAGTGGCCGTGTCGTGATGTGCCCTATGAAGAGGACCACAAAGTAACTGATGACCTGACCAACATCCAGCATGAACCATATGAGTTAGCTTGAATCAGACTTTCTTCTTTTAACACTTTGGAGACAACTGCCATCCTGGCTCATACCTTGATTGCAATATTGAGGCAGGTCCTGAGCCAGACTTACATAGCTGAATTCTACCTGGATTGCTGATTCACAGAAACTATAAGTAATAATTGTTTGATGCCTTAAGCCCCAATGTTTTAAGGTAATTTATTTTACAGCAATCGACAGGTAATAGAGTGGAACATGAAAGAGAACTATGAGAATGAACAAATGACAGTTATATTTAAGACACTTGGGTAAATATTGCAAACAAAAATTGAAACAGTAAAACCAGGCACAAAATGATGCGTGCTATGTGATTCCATGCACAAACATCCCCAAAATAGGCCAGACTTATCTATAGCATTAGAAGCCCAAATAATGCTCATGCTTGGGAATAGCATAACACTATCCTTGGAAATAGAGAGTGTCTGAAAGTCGTCTGAAGGGGATTTTTTGTGTCTCTTGCTTCTGTTTTGAAAATGTATAAAGCTGTTTACTTTTGATTTGTATACTTTTCTGAATGTGTATTCTATTATTACTTCATAGATGATTACACTAAAACATGACTTTTACACTCAGTTCTTTGCTTTATTTGACCTGTTCTTTTCTTTTGTCCATAATTTTGTGGTTGAGTTTTCCCTGCCTTTTGTTTTTAAATGTGTCTTTGGACATAATATAATGCTGAATTATTTTTAAATCAAATTACAGCTTTTCTACTTTCAACAAATTATTTTAAGCCTTTGCATTTACTGTAGTTACTGAAAGTTTAAGATTTGGTCCTATCATCTTATTTGTTTTTGTTTTACCAGGTTGTCTTTTCTTCCATTCACTGGATTAATTTATTTTGTCCAACATCTCTGCAGTTTGGATGTTACAAATTTCATGTGGGTTCTTGGGGTTGACTCATAGCATATTTACAACTTTATCTCCCATGTCATAGTCCAAAGCCTGGTAAGTGAACATTATTAATTAGTGGGTGACTTTTGATGATAATGATCAAAAAAAGATGAAATATGGTAGTAAAAATTTAAAAAATTTAAAAATTAGTAAATCATATAAAATGAACATAGGTCAAAAAACTATTGTGGAGACTTATGTATGCATATACATAAAGGCCATTGTTGCTTGTTTTGCTTTCTTGTGAAGTGGGAGAAGAAACTAGGATTTGAACAAATAGATGAAGTTCCATAAAAGGCTTCACTCTCCAGATATCACTTCCATTTGCCCTGATAATGGGTTTGCACCCCATGCATTGGCAATATAAAGAGAAAAGCCATTTGCAAATGAAGTAAATAGCACTTAGAAATGTAGCCACATGTGGTAGAGTGAAAACATATTCAGAGATATTCTGTAGATAATTTTAGGACTAAAATGAGAAAGAATAAAATTGACCATAAAACATACTAAGATGTTCAGGTTCTAATAGGATTTAAAAAATAAATATCCATAATTATCTATGAAACTGTACAAACAGCTCTAAAAACAGAACCAAGCTTACAAGGGCAGTGAAGGCAAAAAGAGACGGGTCAGTTTAATATTAACTAGTTTATAGAAGCAATAATGAGAATTGCCTAAATCTTTGCAAAATTTACATCAGAAAAACTTAGGATGGTTGTGCCACACTGAGGTGAAAATCAGGCAGCATGAGAGTTATCATCCAGGAAAGATTTTCCCGATGCCAAGCTACTCCCATTGACTTTTTATATTATAATGAAAGTGTAGTAAAGGGAGATGAATTTAAGAGCTTGATTTGAGAACAGAACTGGACAGTTTTGTACATTCATCCAGGGGCACCAAATTCTCCCCAGGGAGTTATTGCAAATCAGCAGAGGAAACAAAGGATGGTTATTATGTCAGTTTTTAAAATATTTCTATTCCTTTCCCACCTTCCTATTGTCAAACTGTAAACATTCTTCTCCTAGGAAATAAGCAAGTTCTTTCAAATCCAGATGTTTTCAGTTAAATTAGGATTGTAAAGTTTGAACAGTTTATTGCAACCACATCGTTCTTATTTCTTAAGCTTCCAAATAAATGTCAACATACATTATATATATATATATATATATATATATATATATATATTTAACATAATTGTTTTATTGTTAAATATACATTTTTTGGTATATTTACTGTTAAACATATGTATATTTAACCATAACTGTTAAACATACATATATGGGCAGGGCACAATGGCTCACACCTGTAATCCTACCACTTTGGGAGGCTGAGGCAGGTCACCAGAGGTCATGGGTTTGAGATCAGCCTGGCCAACATGTTGAAACCCAGTCTCTACTAAAAATACAAAAATTAGCCGGGCATGGTGGCACATGCCTGTAATCCCAGCTACTCGGGAGGCTGAGGCAGGAGAATCACTTGAACCTAGGAGGCGGAGGTTGCAGTGATCCGAGATCTCGCTACTGCACTGCAGACTGGATGACAGAGTGAGACTCCATCCAAAAAAAAAGAAAATACACATATGTGTTTGTGTGTTTTGTGAATATGTATGTAAGTGAATGTGTGTGTGTGTGTGTCTCTGTGTGTGTGTAAAATTGAGTTTTAACTAACTTGTATTTACTGCTTTTATGTTCTGCTCTCTTGTTTGGTCAACATCACTTTACTACATTATGTTACTGCATAGACATTGTGTTTTTTGAAATTTTAGCAACTGATATCTGAGAGGACCTTTGTAGGGAAAACTCCAAAGGTTGATTCTCTTTTGATAAGATATATGTTAGCAAGCTGGGCACAGTGGTGCGTATCTGTAATCCCAGCTACTCCAGATGCTGAGGCAGGAGGATTCCTTAATGCCAGGGGTCAAGGCAGTAGTACACTGTGATTGCACCTGTGAATAGCCATTGTATTTGAGCCCGGGCAACATAGCAAGACCAAGTCTCTTTAAAAAAAAGAAAGAAAGAGAGGAAAAAAAAACAGGAAAAAATAAGAGAAGAGAAAGAAAAGAAAAGAAAGGAAAGGAAAACAAATTAGAAACCTAAATCTTCACGGAGTAGGTAATAGAATCCAACAGGGATTCCCTATACTCATTAATTTCTATGTTGCCCCACAAGTGCAACACTGGCATATTGTAGCTTTCCTCAGGACATCATAGTATTGCCTGCTTAGTATCTGCCGTTTTAGCACCTATTTTTAAGGTGTTTTTTTAACATCAGTAAGGTTCGTGTTCTGATAAGAAGCTGTCATCCCTGGATTAATTCAACATCTTGGCCAAAATCTGTAGCTTATTTGTCAATTTCATTGCTAAGTGAAAATTAATCAGAAGCACTGAAAATAAACAAAAAAAATAGATTCATTCTTTTTACTACATAGACTTCCTAATTTTACATATATGGTCAGAGCCAATAATTTTAGTGAGTGATAAAGTTCAAATTCTTCATAAAATGTTTGTAGCCATTTTATAATACAATGATTATTATGGTGATGGAAAGTAAATACATGCGAAAATACACCTATAACACTACCACGTACCAGACACTGCCCCATATACTTTTTATATTCACTCATTTGAATATCACAACAAAACTTAAGGAAGTATTAGAAACATGAGAAAAATTAAACTTACATGATTGGTAAGTGATAGAATCAAGAATCAAATTCAAACGGTATCATTCTACAAGCCACGCTCATAAACTCTACCTATTCTGTCCTTTGTCATATATTACTACATGGCATTAAACCCTACACTATAACGTCTCTCCTCATTTCCTCCTTGCTGCCTATAATAAAAAAAATTATACCAGCTAGCAACGTTTTAAAGATAAATTAAAATATTATGTGTATCAATATTTTAGATTTTTGAGGTTTAATTTTTATTGCTAAAATCTAGTGGGACATAAATATATAAATATGTGTGTGAATGTGCTGTAAGTGTGAGAAATAGACATGAAAAAATCTGTAAATAATTTTACTTTAATATTTCACTAACAAGTGGATAAAAAATCTAAATCTATTAATAGTTTCTTTTCATTTCTCTATGCCATTATTAAGGAAATAAAAAACATATACATATTATAAACATAAATTACATAATCACAGCTTATTTTATAAACTACAAATCTACATGGTACATATATAATTTTGGCATTCACATTTAATTTATAATTATTTTTTAGGGAAAATCTTGTTTTAGGGTCAATAAATGCTTAAAAACTTTCCAAACCATGCTTATGTTAAATTAGTGAAATTAATTTAATAAAATTTTTCATGTTTATAAACATGAAAATCATTTTAAACTGGAAATTTTGTTTTTTTATTAGACTTTAAGTTCTGAGATACATGTGCAGAACATGCAGGTTTGTTACATAGGTATACATGTGGCATAGTGGTTTGCTGCACCCATCAACCCAACATTTACATTAGGTATTTCTCCTAATTCTATCCCTCTCCTTACCCCCCACCGCATGACGGGCTCCAGTGTGTGATGTTCCCCTCCCTGGGCCCATATGTTCTCATTGTTCAACTCCCACTACGTGTGAGAACATAAGGTGTTTGGTTTTCTTTTCCTGCGTTAGTTTGCTGAGAATAATGGTTTCCAGCTTCATTTATGTCCCTGCAAAGGACATGAACTCATCCTGTTTTATGGCTGCATAGTATTCCATGGTGTGTATGTGCCACATTTTCTTAATCCAGTCTAACATTGATGGGTATTTGGGTTGGTTCGAAGTCTTTGCTATTGTGAATAGTGTGGCACTAAACATGGGTGTGCATGTGTCTTTATAGTAGAATGATTTATAATCCCTTGGGTATATACCCAGTAATAAGATTCCTGGGTCAAATAGTATTTCTGGTTATAGATTTTTGAGGAATTGCTACACCGTCTTCCATAATGGTTGAACTAATTTACACTCCCACCAACAATGTAAAAGTGTTCCTATTTCTCCACATTGTCTCCAGCATCTGTTGTTTTCTGACTTTTTAATGATTGCCATTATAACTGAGGTGAGATGGTATCTCATTGTGGTTTTGATTTACATTTCTCTAATGACTAATGATGGTGAGCTTTTTTTCCTATGTTTGTTGGCCACATAAATGTCTTCTTTTAAGAAGTGTCTGTTCATATCCTTTGCCCACTTTTTGATGGGCTTGTTTGTTTTTTCCTTGTAAATTTAAGTTCCTTGTAAATTCTGGATATTAGCCTTTTGACAGATGGCTAGATTGCAAAAATTTCCTCCCATTCTATAGGTTGCCTGTTCACTCTGTTGATAATTTATTTTGCCATGCAGAAGCTCTTTAGTTTAATTAGATCCGATTTGCCAATTTTGGCTTTTGTTGCAATTGCTTTTGATGTTTTAGTCATGAAGTCTTTGCCCATGCCTATATCCTGAATGATATTACCTAGGTTTTCTTCTAGGGTTTTTATGGTTTTAGGTCTAATGTTTAAGTCTTTAATCCATCTTGAGTTAATTTTTGTATAAGGTGTAAGGAAGGGGTCCAGTTTCAGTTTTCTGCATATGGCTAGCCAGTTTTGCCAACACCATTTATTAAATAGGGAATCCTTTCCCCATTGCTTATTTTGGTCAGGTTTGTCAAAGATCAGATGGTTGCAGATGTGTGGCATTATTTCTGAGGCCTCTATTCTGTTCCATTGGTCTATATATCTGTTTTGGTACCAGTACCATGCTGTTTTGGTTACTGTAGCCTTGTAGTATAGTTCAAAGTCAGGTAGCATGATGCCTCCAGCTTTGTTCTTTTTGCTTAGGATTGTCTTGGATACAAAGCCTCTTTTTTGGTTCCATGTGAAATTTAAAGTAGTATTTTCTAATTATGTGAAGAAAGCCAATGGTTGCTTGATGGGAATAGCATTGAATCTATAAATTACTTTGGGCAGTAGGGCCATTTTCACAGTATTAATTCTTCCTATTCAGGAGCATGGATTGTTTTTCTATTTGTTTGTATTCTCCCTTGAGCAGTGGTTTGTAGTTCTCCTTGAAGAGGTCCTTCACATTCCTTGTAAGTTGTATTATGAGGTATTTTATTCTCTTTGTAGCAATTGTGAATGGGAGTTTGCTCATGATTTGGCTCTCTGTTTGTCTCTCTTGTCTATTGGTGTATAGGAATGCTTGTGATTTTGCACGTTGATTTTGTATCCTGAGAGTTTGCTCAAGTTGGTCATCAGCTTAGGAAGTTTTTGGGCTGAGACAATGGGGTTTTCTAAATATACAATCGTGCCATCAGCAAACAGAGATAATTTGATTTCTTGCCTTCTTATTTGAATATGCTTTATTTCCTTGTCTGGCCTGATTGCCCTGATGAGAACTTCCAATACTATTTGAATAGGAATAGTGAGAGAGGGCATCTTGTCTTGTGCTGGTTTTCAAAGGGAATGATTCCAGCTTTTGCCTATTCAGTATGATATTGTCTGTGGGTTTGTCACAAATAACTCTTATTATTTTGATATATATTTCATTAATACCTAGTTTATTGAGTGTTTTTAGTATGAAGGAGTGTTGAATTTTATTGAAGGCCTTTTCTGCATTTTTGAGATAATCATGTGGTTTTTGTCACTGGTTCTCTTTATGTGATGAATTATGTTTGTTGATTTGTGTATGTTGAACCAGCCTCATGTGCCAGAGATGAAGCCGACTTGATCATGATGGGTAAGCTTTTTGATGTTCTGCTGGATTTAGTTTGCCAGTATTTAGTTGAGGATTTTCACATTGATATTCTTCAAGGATATTGCCCTGAAATTTTCTTTTTGTGTTGTATCTCTCCCAGGTTTTGGTATCAGGATGATGCTGGCCCCTTGAGTTAGGGAGGATTCCTTCTTTTTCTATTGTTTAGAATAGTTTCAGAAGGAATGGTAACAGCTCCTCTTTGTACCTCTGGTAGAATTTGGCTGTGAATCCATCTGGTCCTGGGTTTTTGTTTTTTGTTTTTTTTTTTGGTTGGTAGGCTATTAATTACTGCCTCAATTTCAGACCTTGTTGCTGGTCTATCCAGAGATTTGGTTTCACCTGGTTTAGACTTGGGAGGTGTATGTGTCCAGGAATTTATCCATTTCTTCTAGGTTTTCTAGTTTAGTTGCATAGAGGTGTTTCTAGTATTTGTTGGGGTGATCAGATCCAACACCAGGTCTTAAGGGTGACGAAGTCCGGCGGAGTCAAAGGAATGAGAAAAATTTGAGAGTGAAAGTGGGACCAGGGGGCCATCGCGAGTGTGGAGGCTGCGAAGGCCCCAAGCTCTGGGAGCCCACGCTATTTATTTGTGCTCAAACAAACAGGTAGTGAGGATGTGGGGGTTGAGAGGAAACAATGTATCAAGTAAATGAGAAACATATAGCTGCTTGAGATAACAGGAGTGCTAGAAGCAAGGAGCCAGCAAGTCTAGCAGACATGCAAGCCCTGCCTCAGCTTCTCTCCCAACACTCAGCTTTTCTCCCAACATGCCCCCTTTCTCTTTTTTGTAAAAACCACCACAGCTATCATTATTACTAACAAGGTGGCCTCTTTTTAAATTAATTGAGCAAGGCAATTGCAGGCTGTGCAGATCTTCATTGTCAGTTGGTGATCCAGCTTCATTTTTCTTAGCCCTTATTCCAAATGGAGTCGCTCTGGTTTGAATGCTTCCTACATATCTTCCCTTTCCCTTTTACAAGAGGACCCTTAATCCTAGGGGTTGCAGAAGGATGAAAATCCATCTTCTGTAACTTCTTCATGCTGAATAGGGGAGATGATACTCCTGCCTACCTATTAGGGTCTCTTGTATTCAGGGTAGAGAGAAGTTCGGTCAGAAAGCATTGGTTTTAAGCATCTATTAGTAAAACCCTGGTGCTCCAGCAGTTTCTCAGCATGTCTCATACTGGGGGAACCCAGTCCATGGTTGTACACATCTTGAGGGCACCTACAAGGTTTGTTCTTCTCCTGCAAAAACACAAGCATACTCTCACCCCCACATTAGTAAATCTACTGAAACAGAAGCAAAGACTTTTGTGGCTGTAGCCAGGAGGCATGCCATTGCTGAAGCATTTGTAACTCGGCTTCTGCCTCTTTGGTAAATTACTGTGGCATAAAACTTACTGTTGATAATGAGAAGCAGGCTCTGTCTAACAGAAGGCACAGAGAAAGCAAATCAAGGCTTAAAAGCAATCCTTAAACCTTCAATTTGCACTGTACAGGTGGGTCCACTAGAGGCTGTGGTTCATGACAGATCTTCACATGTTTGGTGGGCACCCACACAGGCACCTGATTGTCACCTGGAGAGACACAAGTAAATCCTCTTCCCTATAAAATCATCTTTCCTTTTTCCCAGCTCTTTGTTTGTGCATCCCTCCACCATATATCTTGTCCAGCCTTTTTATTTTCTTTTGTCCTCTCAGGTGTTGTTTAGCTGCTGTCAAGGGTTGAATCACAGCATTAACAGCCCTTAAATCTTTTGACATTCTCCATTTTCCTGATTTTTTTCTTAATGACAAATACATGAGAATTCCAAGGGGGAAAAGTAGGCTCTATATGTCCCTTTTGCAATTGTTCCTTCACCAGTTCTTTTAAAGCCTCCAGTTTTTCCTGTTTCAATGGCCATTGCTCCACCCAAACCAGTTTGACTGTTAGCCAAACAAGAGGAATGGGAGCCAGAGGCTCAACAATGGCTGCTCCTAAAAATGACACCCCAATCTGGTCCAATCTGTTTGCCCTTCTAATTCTAAAGGTTCTGATTGGCCATTTTTAATCTTTTTCTAGTCCTTTTCCTGGTTGATATCCCACATTTTTCATCATTTGTCTACTATTATTACTATATTGATCCATGGGAGTAGATATTTCAGCATCTTATTGTTGCAATAAGTCTCTACTCCATAAATTGACAGGAATAGGTGTAATGATAGGTTGAATTGTCCCTTCCTGACCATCCAGCCCTTGACATGGTAAAATCAAAGAACTTTGAAAAACTTCTGAGGCAGCTCCTATTCCAGCAATACCAATAGATGCCTTTTGCATAGGCCACTGCCAGGGCCATTGATTTATAGCAATAATAAAGACGTCAGCTCCAGTATCTACTAGTCCTTCAAAATCTTTTCCCTGAATAGTTACTGTGCAAATAGATCTTTTGTCAGATACTTGATTAACCCAATACACAGCCTTTCCTGCTGGATTAGTATTACCAAAGCCTCCTGTTCTTTTCAGTTTGCTGCTTCCTAGTTTTATGTAAGGTAACAGCAACAACTGAGCAATTCTTTCTCCTGGAGAGGTAGACCATGGAGTCAAGGAACTAATAACTAATTGAATTCCTCCAGTATAATCAGAGTCAATTATTCCCATATGCACAGTGACAACTTTTAAATTTAGACTAGAACTTCCAAGTGAGAGGTGAAGCTGGCTGGGCTTCTGGGTCGGGTGGGGACTTGGAGAACTTTTCTGTCTAGCTAAGGGATTGTGAATACACCAATCAGCGCTCTGTGTCTAGCTAAAGGTTTGTAAACACACCAATCAGCGCTCTGTGTCTAGCTAGTCAGGTAGGGGACTTGGAGAACTTTTCTGCCTAGCTAAAGGATTGTAAATGCACCAGTCAGCACTCTGTGTCTAGCTAAAAGTTTGTAAACGCACCAATCAGCACTCTTTAAAACGGACTAATGAGCACCCTGTAAAATGGACCAATCAGTTCTCTGTAAAATGCACCAATCAACAGGATGTAGGTGGGCCCAAATAAGGTAATAAAAGCAGGCCACCTGAGCCAGCAGCGGCAACCAGCTCGGGTCCCCTTCTATGCTGTGGAAGCTGTGTTCTTTTGCTCTTTGCAATAAATCTTGCTGCTGCTCACTCTTTGGGTCCGCACTACCTTTATGAGCTGTAACACTCACCACGAAGGTCTGCAGCTTCACTCCTGAAGCCAGCAAGACCATGAACCCACCAGGAGGAATGAACAACTCCAGACGTGCCAACTTTAAGAGCTGTAACACTCACTGCAAAGGTCTGCAGCTTCGCTCCTCAAGTCAGCAAGACCATGAATATCTGAAGGAAAAAACTCTGGACACACCATCTTTAAGAACTGTAACACTCACTGTGAGCGTCCACGGCTTCATTCTTGAAGTCAGCGAGACCAATAACCCACCGGAAGGAACCAATCCCGGACACACAAGTAATAGACCGACTGTTCCTGAGGGTAAGCATCCCCTAACTCCCGTGGGGACCTTCTTTGATGGTTCTCCAGGAAGTAAGGAGACAGGAATTGTGCTGTGGAAATCTATGGCAGCACTGCCTGCTGAGGAGGGGGACAACTGTTGTACGTTTGTATACGTTTGTAAGTGTACTGGCTGTGCTGGGTATGCCTTGGTATGTTGAGGGGCTCGAGGCGGGCCCTCTTCCCATTTCCCAAAAGAGGTTGTCCATTTTTGCTAAATTTAGAATGACACTGACTTGCCCAGTGATTGCCTTTCTTACACTGGGGGCATACACTTGGACTTTTCTGTTGATTGATGGTAGTAGTTTTTGCCTTTTGATTTCCTTTTCTACATTCCTTTCTACTGTGTCCAAATTGCCCACAATTAAAGCAAGAGCCTAAGAAATGGGGCATATTCTTTCCTACTCTTAATCCAGCCATAGCCTGATCTGAAAAAGCCTTATGTAAGTTACCTCCAATGCCATCTCAAGCCTTAATATATTCAGCTAAATAAGCCTTCCCTCTCAGTGGTCTAAGAGCAGTTTGACATTCTGCATTAGCATTATCATATGCAAGAAGCTGTATTACAACATCCTGAGCTGTCTTATCAGTTATGACTTTATACACAGCCTCTTGGAGCACAGCAATAAAATCAATATATGGTTCTTTAGGTCCTTGTTGGACAGAACTGAAAGAAGGATATTTCTCACCCGTAACATTTATCCTTTCCCATGCCTGTAAGCACACAAAGTGCAGCTGAACAATGGCAACATCCTCCATTACTGCTTGATTCTCTAATCGACCCCAATTATGGCCAACTCCCATTAACTGTTCAAAGGAAATAGGCACAGGTGGCTGTGCTTGTGTGTTTTCCTTTGTCTGAGATTGAGTTTCATCAGACCACCAGGTTTTAAACTGCAAGTACTGAGATGTAGTGAGAACAGATTTTGTCAAAGTATCCCAATCATATGGTATTAATCTATTATCAAGAACCATATTTTTTAATAAAGTTTGCACAAAAGGAGAGTTCGGTCCGTATTGACTAATGACTTGTTAAATTCCTTTAGTAACTCAAAAGGGAAAACGGCCCCATTAGCTATATTCTGTCCTCTCTGCTGGATTATAGTAATGGGAAATTGCCATGCTTCAAGGTTTCCCTTAGCTCTAGCTTTTGAAATAAAATTTTGGGTAGCACCACCAATTGCTCCAGGTTTTAATGTTGCAACCACAGGAGCAGTAAGTTTTTCAGCTAATTTGTCTTCTCACCCATTAAGAGGAGAGAGAGGAGGTGACCATTCACTTAATTCAGCAGGTGGAGCCGACAGGCTAGTAAAACATACTTTTTTTTTAGTTTTCCTTTCTTTTCTTTAATCTCCTCCAGTAGCTGTCCCTCACACTCAGAATCTGAAGTTAGTTTTTCACACTCATCCTCTTCCTCATCTGAATCTGCCTCATCATCTGTTTGAAATGGCTCAACTGCTGCCTTTATTAGCTCCCACTTTGACAAAACAGAAACTGGAATTTCTGCTCCCTTTTTCTACACCTTTTTAAAATCTCTTCCAATTCTCTCCCATTGATACAACTCCATAGTTCCTTGTTCAGGAAACCATGGACAAAACTGCTTTACTGTACTAAAGAGTGATAACAAATTCTGAGTACTAACTTTCACTCTCCCTCTTCATAGTAAATGCCTTAAGAAATTTAAGTAAGTAGAGTGTCTGCTTTCATTTTGTCCCATTGTTACCCTGGTTCTTCCGAGTGCTCAGCTTTCCCACCGAGCTTCTTTTAGACATCCTCTGGTGTCCTTTGACTATGCGTCCTCCGCTTTCACATGCTCTAGCATTCCTTCACCAGGGTCTTTGTCACCCCATGTTGGGCAGCCAGCAATGTTGGAGTGATCACACCCAACAACAGGTCATGGGGGCGACGAAGTCTGGTGGAGTCAAAGGAATGAGAAAAAGACAGTTTGAGAGACAAAGTGGGACCAGGGGCCCATCGCAAGTGTGGAGGCTGCAAAGGCCCCAAGCTCTGGGAGCCCATGCTATTTATTGGTGCTCAAACAAATAGGTAGTGAGGATGCGGGGATTGAGAGGAAACAGTGTACCAACTGAATGAGAAACATATGGTTGCTTGAGATAACGGGAGTGCTAGAAGCAAAGAGCCAGTAAGTCTAGCAGACATGCAAGCCCTGCCTCAGCTTCTCTCCCACAACTCAGCTTTCCTCCCAACAGTATTCTCTGATGGTAGTTTGTATTTCTGTGGGATCAGTGGTGATCTCCCCTTTATCAATTTTTATTGTGTCTATTTGATTTTTCTCTCTTTTCTTCTTTATTAGTCTGGCTAGTGGTCTCTCTATTTTGTTAATGTTTTCCAAAAACCAGCTCCTCGATTCATTGGTTTTTTGAAGGTTTTTTTGTCTCTCTATCTCCTTCAGTTCTTCTCTGATTTTAGTTATTTCTCGTCTTCTGCTAGCTTTTGAATTTGTTTGCTCTTGCTTCTCTAGTTCTTTTAATTGTGATGTTAGGGTGTCTATTTTAGATCTTTCCCTCTTTCTCCTTTGGGCACTTAGTGCTATAAATTTTCCTCTAAACACTGCTTTGGCTGTGTCCCAGATATTCTGGTATGTTTTGTCTTCATTCTCATTGGTTTAAAGAACTTCTTTATTTCTGCCTTAATTTCATTATTTTCCCAGCAGTCATTCAGGAGCAGGTTGTTCAGTTTCCATGTAGTTGTGCAGTTTTGAGTGAGTTTCTTAATTCTGAGTTCTAATTTGATTGCACTGTGGTCTGAGAGACTGTTACAATTTCCATTGTTTTGCATTTGCTGAGGAGTGTTTTACTTCCAATTATGTGGTCAATTTTAGAGTAAGTGCTATGTGGTGCTGAGAAGAATGTATATTCTGTTGATTTGGGGTGGAGAATTCTGTAGATGTCTATTAAGTCTGCTTGTTCCAGAGCTGAGTTCAACTCCTGAATATCCTTGTTAATTTTCTGTCTCATCAATCTGTCTAATACTGACAGTGACAGGTGACAACGTGCTAGCAGCCCTCACTTGCTCTCGGCGCCTCCTCGGCCTCGGCATCTACTCTGGCCACACTCGAGGAGCCCTTCAGCCAGCAGCTGTGCTAGGAGGGCCCCTCTCTGGGGCTGTCTGAGGCTGGAGCCGGCTCCTTCTAGTTGCTGGGAAGTGTGAAGAGAGAGGCGCGGGTGGCAGCCGGGGCTGCGTGCAGCACTCGCGAGCCAGCGCATGTTCCAGGTGAGCGCAGGCTCAGTAAGCCCTGCACTGTGCACAGCCTGCCGGAGCCTGCTGGGCTTGATCAGAGGCTGAATCCCATGCGGGGACTGCCTTTCCCTCTTCGCAGGATCATTGGCCATGATGGTGGGTCTCCGTCTCTTTCTTGCTTCCCCTCTTTTCCTCTTGGTTGTCTGGGATGAGCTCCCTCTGGGCTGCCAGAGTGCCTGGGCTAGGTGCTGCAAAGTCCCACGGCGAGTGCCAATGAGAAGTGAAGCCTGCTGGGCTTCTGGGATGGGTGGGGACTTGGAGAACTTTTCTGTTTAGCTAAAGGATTGTAAACACACCAATTAGCATTCTGTTTCTAGCTAAAGGTTTGTAAACACACCAATCAGCCCTCTGTGTCTAGTTAAAGGTTTGTAAATGCACCAATCAGCGCTCTGTGTCTAGCTAATCTGGTGGGGACTTGGAGAACTTTTGTGTCTAGCTAAAGGATTCTAAACACACCAATCAGCACTCTGTGTCTAGCTAAAGGTTAGTAAATGCACCAATCAGCTCTCTGTAAAATGGACCAATCAGCTCCTGTAAAATGGACCAATCAGCAGGATGTGGGTGGGTCCAGGTAAGGGAATAAAAGCAGCCACCTGAGCCAGCAGTGGCAACCCACTCGGGTCTCCTTCCACGCTGTGGAAGCTTTGTTCTTTCACTCTTTGCAATAAATCTTGCTGCTGCTCACTCTTTGGGTCTGTGCCGCCTCTATGAGCTGTAACACTCACCGTGAAGGTCTGCAGCTTCACTCCTGAAGCCAGTGAGACCACGAACCAACCAGGTGGGATGAACAACTCCAGACAGGAGGAACAAACAACTCCAGAAGCGCCACCTTTATGAACTATAACACTCACCACGAAGGTCTGCAGCTTCACTCCTGAGGCCAGGGAGACCACAAACCCACCAGGAGAAATGAGAAACTCCAGAAACACTACCTTTAAGAGCTGTAACACTCACCGTTACGGTCTGCAGCTTCACTCCTGAAGTCAGCAAGACCGTGAACCCACCAGTAGGAAGAAACTCTGGATACGTCTGAACATCAGAAGGAAAAAACTCCGGACACACCATCTTTAAGAGCTGTAACACTAACTGCCAGGGTCTGCGGCTTCATTCTTGAAGTCAGTGAGACCAAGAACCCACCAATTCCAGACACAACAGTGGGGTGTTAAAGTCTCTGCCTATTATTGTGTGGGAGTCTATGTCTCTTTGTAGGTCTCTAAGAACTTTCTTCATGAATCTGGGTGCTCTGGTATTGGGTGCATATATATTTATGATAGTTAGCTCGTCTTGTTGCATTGATCTCTTTACCATTATGTAATGCCCTTCTTTGTCTTTTTTATCTTTGTTGTTTAAAGTCTATTTCATCAGAGACTAGGAATGCAACCTCTTTTCTTTTTTTTTTTTTTTGGTTTCCATTTGCTTGGTAAATATTCCTTTATCCCTTTATTTTGAGCCTATGTGTGTCTTTGCACATGAGATGGGTCTCCTGAATACAACACACTGAGGTTCTTGACTCTTTATACAGTTGGCCAGTCTGTGCCTTTTAATTGGGGCATTTAGCCCATTTACATTTAAGGTTAAAATTGTGATGTGTGAATTTGATCCTGTCATTACGAGATGCTAGCTGGTTATTTGCCCATTAGTTGATGCAGTTTCTTCACAGTGTTGATGGTCTTTACATTTTGGTTTGTTTTTGCAGTGGCCAGTATTGGTTTTTCCTTTTCATATTTAGCGCTACCTTCAGGAGCTCTTGTAAGACAGCCCTAGTGGTGACAAAATCCCTCAGTATTTGCTTGTCTGTAAAGGATTTCATTTCTCCTTCACAAATGAAGCTTAGTTTGGCTGGATGTGAAATTCTGGGTTGAAAATTATTTTCTTTAAGAATGTACAATATTGGCCCCCACTCTCCTCTGGCTTGTAGGGTTTCTGCAGAGAGATCCACTGTTAGCCTGATGGGCTTCCCTTTGTGGGTAACCCAACCTTTCTATCTGGCTGCCCTTAACAATTTTTTCTTCATTTCAACCTTGGTGAATCTGATGATTATGTGTCTTGAGGTTGTTCTTCTCAAGGAGTATCTTTGTGGTGTTCTCCGTATTTCCTGAATTTGAATTTGGGCCTGTCTTGCTAGGTTGGGGAAATCTCCTGGATAATATACTGAAGTGTGTTTTCCAACTTGGTTCCATTCTCCCTGTCACTTTCAGGTACACCAATCAAGTGTAGGCTTGATCTTTTCACATAGTCCCATATTTCTTGGAGAATTTATTCATTCCTTTTCATTCTTTTTTCTCTAATCTGGTCTTCACGCATTATTTCATTAAGTTGATCTTCAATCTCTGATATCCTTTCTTCTGCTTAATTTATTCAGCTATTGATATTTGCATATGCTTCATGAAGTTCTCATGCTGTGTTTTTCAGCTCCATCGGGACATTTATGGTCTTCTCTAAACTGGTTATTCTAGTTAGCAATTCCTCTAACTTTTTATCAAGGTTCTTAGCTTCCTTGCATTGGGTTAGAACATGCTCCTTTGGCTCGGAGGAATTTGTTATTACCCACCTTCTGAAGCCTACTTCTCTCAATTCATCAAACTCATTCTCCATCCAGTTTTCTTGCTGGCAAGGAATTGTGATCCTCTGGAGAAGTAGAGGCATTCTGGCCTTTGTAATTTTCAGCCTTTTTGCACTGTTTTTTTTCTCATCTTCATGGATTTATCTATCTTTGGCCTTTGCTGTTGGTGAACTTCGGATGGAGTTTTTGTGTGGTCATCATTTTTGTTGTTGTTGCTGCTATTGTTTTCTGTTTTTTAGTTTTCCTTCTAACAGTCAGGCCCCTCTGCTGCAGGTCTGCTGGAGTTTGCTGGGAGCCCACTCCAGACCTTGTTTGCCTGGGTATCACCTGCGGCAGCTGAAGAACAGCAAAGATTGCTGTCTCTCCTTCCTCTGGAAGCTTTGTCCCAGAGGGGCACCTGCCAGGTGCCAACCAGAACTCTCCTGTGGGAGGTGTCTCTCAATTCTTGCTGGGAGGTGTCTCCCCATCAGAAGGCATGGGGGTCAAGGACCCACTTGAGGAGGCAGTCTGTCCTTTAGCAGAGCTCGAGCACTGTGCTTGGAGATCCTCTGCTTTCTTCGGAGCTGGCAGTTGGGAACATTTAAGTCTGCTGAAACTGCACCCACAGCTGCCCCTTCCCCCAAGTGCTCTATCCCAGGGAGATGGCAGTTTTATCTACAAGCCCCTGACTGGGACTGCTGCCTTTCTCTCAGAGATGCCCTGCCCAGAGAGGAGGAATCTTGAGAGGCAGTCTGGCTACAGCACCTTTACGGTGCTGCAGTGGGCTCCATTCAGTTTGAACTCCCTGGCAGCTTTGTTTACACTGTGAGGGGAAAACCGCCTACTCAAGCCTCAGTAATGGTGGACCCCCCCTCCCCCCACCAAGCTCAAGCATCCCAGGTCGACTTCAGACTGCTGTGCTGGCAGTGAGAGTTTCAAGCCAGTGGATCTTAGCTTACTGGGCTCTGTGAGTATAGGATTCGCTGAGCAAGACCTCTTCACTCCCTAGCTTCAGCCCCCTTTCCAGGGGAGTGAATGGTTCTGTCTCACTGGCATTCCAGGTGCCACTGGGGTACAAAAAAAAAACTCCTTCAGCTAGTTCTGTGTCTGCTCTAACTGCCACCCAGTTTTGTGCTTGAAAGCCAGGTTCCTTGTGGTGTAGATACCTGAGGGAATCTCCTGGTCTGTGGATTGTGAAGACCATGGGAAAAGCATAGTATGTGGGCCAGATAGCACTGTCCCTCATGGCTTCCCTTGGTTAGGGGAGAGAGTTCCCCTACCCCTTGTGCTTCCCGGGCAAGGCGACACCTCACCATGTTTTTGCTCACCCTCTGTTGGCTGCACCCACTTTCTAACCATTCCCAGTGGGATTAACTGGGTACCTCAGTTGGAAATACAGAAATCACCTGCCTTCTGTGTTGGTCTTTCTGCGAGCTGCAGTCCGGAGCTGTTCCTATTCACCCATCTTGCCCAAGCTTCCCCAAATTTTATTTTTTTAGGATGAACTTGGATTGGGTTTTTGGTATATGAATACCTGTGTATCCATTACATGAGTTGATTACTCATCAGCATAAGTTTGTGGTTTTAAAAAATCATGTTCCCTGTATTGCTATCTAGCTATTAGCTATAGCCTTTACACACATGCCAATGTTTAAATACTCTGTATCAAAACAAGCAGAAATATCAATAATTGAGAAAATATATGCATAGTTCAGAATCCTAAATATTATTTTGGCTGCCTCATTTTTCATTGTCTGAAGGACAAATGGGAAATTAACCAAAAGCAAAAAAAAAAAAAAAAAAAAACCAGAAAATGGGATAAATATGTTGCTTCCGTTAAAAGTTTATGTGACCTTAACACTTCTAATAATGATATAGTTTGGTACTCAGATCAGCATATTAAAATCTAAATTAGGAGAAATCAGATGTTTGAATGGTAGATAATGAAACAAACTGTAAAAGGCTTTTGTACAAAATGCTTTGAAAGAGACGCTGTTTTCTGATGGCAGAGGACTGACCTAATTAAGATGCCTATATATTTCCAGTCTGAATTCTCTAAATGATTTCATGTGATGGCAGTTAGGCAAATATAAAGACCATGGGGTGATTGATCTTATAACCTCAGCTTCATTAGCTGAATACGTTTAATGAACTGAGTTAGCAGGGTCCTAGGAATGGCTGGGACACTTGTAATCATTACTCATCAGTCCACATATAGACATTTCACCATGATAAAAGTAAAAGGTACTTCAGTGATTATGTCCTTGAGTACAAAAGTGTAGCTCATCTCTGCCTCTTTCACTGTACTTTTAGATATGTATATGAAACTTCACCAATATCCTCTGGTCTTTATTCAGTGGATTCTTATCTCATTTTTTCATAAATCACAAATAGGTAGCCTTCACTGACCCATATAATGGATTATGAACATTAAAGCAGAGTTTTAAAAATCAGTTATTTCAGTATTCTTTATTTATATAATAAAATATTATATCAGCTGTGTGGTCCTCATTTTGATATCCAGATATCAAGAAGACTGCTGTTACACTATCATCAAAATAGTGTCAATAACAAATTCAAGGTATTCTCTAGAATGCCCTTATCAGATGTAGTCTCAAAGAGAGGATCAAAATTCCAAATGCCCTGAAACACCCCATATGGTAAATTAGACATAGTAACTGACTGAGAGTAAAATAATATTGGCTATTTAGAAATTTAAATTCCTTTTTGACTGTGGAATGAAAGTCAGTTATATAATATTAATGGGGCATTAGCAAAATATAGGCCTCAGATATCACTAAGTTCAATGGTTCATGACAAGTTATATATAAGTTTTTAATACATTTTAAATTTTAGAATAGTTTTAGTATATGTTAGTGTATAAGTAGGAGTAGGATCTTCTGCTTTCTAGACATAATACTTCTTACTTCCACTGTATAGTAGCAAACCAATTTATCCTTATAAGTTAGGAGCAATCTTCCTAGCAAATACAGTAACTCCCTTTTTTTGCCAGTTAATTCAATGATATACGAACCCCAAAAAGGCCAAGTGAAAGATTCAACTTCTAGCTCAAGGAAGTCATTTTTTCTGTTCCCTGATAGAATATTCTTCCCTTTAGAAAAGAGACCACTACACTGCCGAAGCCTATCATAGTGGAGACAGAAATAACATATTAATTTTCTTAGTAAATTGGAAGGTCTAATACTGAGAGGAGCCACTCTAACACTCAAGAATAGCTAGATATAGTGACTTCCCACTTTGCTAAGTGGAGTTCCCATCATATTAGGTGGGCATACATTTTCACATCACTGTATTCTGTTCCCTTAAATCAGATGAGTTGAGACTTAAGGTTACTGCCACAGGGAAGACAGGCAGTCTCTCTAAAAGACAAAACATAATACATTTTGTCCTTGAAATGACTATACTTGCTGAGCTCTTTATTTGTTTTTACTTGCTAAGGTCAATGTCTCTTTTGCAAACTGCATTATTTGGATAAAGATGAGGAGTGAATATATTTACTTAGGATAACAAAAAAACAGTCATTGCAGGCTGTGAAGGAAATTCATATCCACCCAAGACTGACTTACCATGTTGGCTCTATTCCTCTCCTTCAGCCTTAGGGGTTGAGAGTTAGATTGCTAACCTCTAATCAGTCGTCTTCGACATTATCTTTAACAGTGCCACAGATCTTTCTGAGGAAGTACTACCATATGACTTCACCTTCTCAGGCTGAGGTATCAGCTTGACTGTCACTCCACAGATCAAGACTAGAGGTAAATGTAAACACTATACAGGTGGGATGAGAAACAGCTGTTCAGCTGCCTGGCTAGAAGAACAGGCCCAGTTCTTTGCTACAGGATGGACATGGAAAAGTTCAGGCATTTGAAGTTACTGGCGTCAGCCACATGAGATTGATGACGGGATTGGCTTCTACAAGAGGTCCATGTGGTTCTCATTTCTGAAAACAGATGTTTGGAAACCAATGTTTTCAAAGATAATATGAAACTACACCAATATGCTGCACTATGGAGAAAAACTAACCTTGACAGAAGAAAAAAGATTTTCTTGAGGCAGAAGATGAAGGACTATTGGTCGGGACATTCACAGAAGTCTGTTCTGTAAGTTGGGTTATATGGAAGCAGAGATGCTAGGTCAACCCATGTTGTGCCCTCCCTCTTTTGGTAAGCAAAACACTGATGCTTATGACATCTTCCTTTTCTTTGGTGGTGGCCTTGAAAATTGTTATTCCTTCCAGAAAGGGCTGGATGTCACTCGCTTATGAATTTGAATCCTTCTCTTTTTGCCAAATGATAGAACTGAGCTTGCTCCATGAGCTTCATGTGTGTAAACATTAGTGGGGATCCAAGTGGCTCTGCAGGTAGAATAGACACTCAGGTCCCTCCTGCCCAAGTCCAGGGGCTTGCTTCCATGAATCCAATCCTTTAGTTCATATCAGTTCATGGTGTACCAGAAGCCTCAACACATCTGCAAATTTTTACAGAACATGTTTGTGCAAGGAAATAAATTAGGTCACCAGGCCTTCAAAGGCTCCTTCCACTTAGGGGTGGTGGAGCCCATGAAGCTGAGAATCACCCTTGCCAGCTGTTGGAACTTGAAATAATCCTCCAAAAACCTCTTGCTATTTTAGGAGGGTCATCCTGGTGGGTCTGTGTATGCTGTAAAAGAGTGGCTCACTATTTAACCACCCATCTCTACTGTGCTGATTTAGGGACCACGATCACTTGAGCTTTTCTTGGTGCCTGGGATCTGTCTTTCTGCACAGGGATAATCTAGGCTTATTTGTGGCTTTTTTCCCCTGCATTTCCTTTACTTGCTCACTTTCCTTCTTTTCCTCACTATGTTTCCATTTGAAATCAGTTTTCACATATGCATTTCAGTGCAACTCTACCTTCAGGAACTTACTGGATTACACAGGAAATTCCTTATAGTGTGTGACCATCTGCACTGCAAACAATTTTCAGGGAATTGACTAGCTACTAATACCACTTACAAAAAATCTAATAAGGGGTTTAACATTTTCATAAGGAAAATTAATATTTATATTTTCTGTTTTGGTTGGGTTACATTTTTACTATTTTGAGAAAAAAAGTATTGCATTTTTAAAAAGTGAACAAAAAAAGCTCTCATACAATTGAATGGTATTGCCAAAAGAAATTAAGAAGTCAGAATTTGATGATTCAATATATTATAAATATATTTTTGACCATAGTCCTAAACTATCATCTGTCAAGTTGTATTATTTTGAGTACATAAGTATTTTTCATGTTCTTATTTGTTTTCTATAATGCCTCATAACATATATAGCTCTGTGAGTCTGTTCTTTCAGAAGATCTTATCTCTTGTTAGTTTTCAAGGATTTCCAGGTTCACAGCAGCTGACTTTTTACTACACATTTTATGACTCTAAAACCATTAGAAGAACATCAATGCTTCCCTAAATTGGTTTTTTGGAGAAAATGTAATATGTTTGATGAATTCAAATAAAAAGATGGAAACATAACAGCATATTGGATTACTTGTTAATTTTTCTTTCTCAAATGTTTTATATTGAAAGGAATTGATTTGTGGAGTACATTTTCAAACCAATTTCACCTTCGTTTCTAGAAAAACTACATTTTGTCCTAGAAAGCTATCGACATTTCATCAGAGGAAATAGATTCAGAATTGCTGCCCAGTAAAATCTTTTTTAGCGATAGTTCTCTATCTTTCACCAAAGACAATGCAATTGACCTTGGGTTGGAGGATAAAAAGCTGCCATTATCAAGTGACAGAATAACTGGTTGTCTTCCTCTGCTAGGTTTTTGGCATCACAGAGTTCTCTGAGTCAAGCTTTCACATAGAGAAATAACTAATCCAATAACTATAACAACTTAAATTATACAATTACTTTATCTTTGTCAATTTAAACTGGTGAGTTTATCAAAAACAAAAACGGAACTTCAAACACATTTAGAGATCATAAGCATAAGTGAAATAAGACTTAAAGGTATCTTACCATCTAAAATCATCACAAGTCAATTTCATATACCTTAAGATGTTTATCTCTGTGCCCTGCCTCATTTCAGAACAGGAGGCCAGAATCCATTCAAATTAAAATAGTTTCAAATAGCAATTCAAAAACAAACCCATTAATTGTCTCTTTCCAAATGATTATTAGAAATGAGCTTCTTAAATAGAAAAAAAATCTAAACTCTAAAGCAATCATTTAATTCCTTCAGAAAGAGAAATTATTGTTTTAAATGCAATTATTTTCATCATCACATTATATAAAATAATAAGGATCATGCAAGTACCTTGAAAGTTTTCTGTTTTTAATAAAAATGTATGGATGTAAGATAATCTTATAGGAAAATTCACAATAACAGAAATAAATGAAAAGAAACTATTAGAAGCAGAGGGTGTAATGTATTTTTATTTATTTTTTGGAGGCTGTTGAGTTTAGCCAGATTTAAGGACTGTCCCCAGCATTAAAGATAGAAATGAGCCCTGGTTCTCATCTTTACTCAGTCATTAATCAGATGTATTATCATGGAAACGCCACTTATTCCTCTGAATCTTTTTCATTTATACAATGGGAGAGTTGAACTATATTTTTTCCCAAAGATCTTTCTAGTTGTAATTATACTAGTACCTATTTTATTTGTGTCATATAATTTCCGTTGAAAGTTTTAAGTTTATTTTATCTTAAAAATTGATACCATTTGAGTCACTACTTAAAACATATCTGAAATTAATATTGATAGTTGATATTGTTTGGCTGTGTTCCCACCCAAATCTCATCCCAAATTGTAGCTCCCATAATCATCACATGTCATGGGAGGGACCCAGTGGGAGGTAATTGAATCATGGATGTGGGTTTTTCCCATACTGTTCTCATGATAGTGAATAACTGTCATGAGATCTGATGCTTTTATAAAGGGCAATTCCCCTGCATACATTTTCTTGCCTGCCACCATGTAGGATGAGCCTTTCCTCCTCCTTCATCTTCTGCCATGATTGTGAATCCTTCCCAGCCATGTAGAACTGTGAGTCCATTAAACCTCTTTCCTTTATGAGTTACCCATTCTCACGTATGTCCTTATAGCAGTCTGAGAACAGATTAATAAAATATTTGCTTTAGCATCTTCACCATACATCTAGGACTTCACTGATGCTTGTAGCAGGCAGTTAGAGGTGGCAGCATTTTGAAACTCAACCTTGTGTCTATTTTCCACTCACGGAGATGTCTTAGCGTATTACAATAGGCAGAAAAAAAAAGTGACCTGTTGATTTTAGTCCTGTGAGACCCATTTGGGGCTTCTTACCTGAAAAACTCTAAGATAATATTTATTTTGCTTAAGCCCATATGTTTATGGTAATTTTTATAGCAGCAAAACAAATTGATAGGTATACTTTCACCTCTAGTTCTTTTTTTGTTGTTGTTCTCACCTGGAGTCAATAAAATGAAAAGTAATGAAGCTTACAGCAAATTTCACTTTGTGATAGCTAAGTTTGTTAAAACATAGTATTTATTTTAGAGATCTAAGTGAATGCCAATAGAAATATTTGAAGAATTTAAGAAAAAAATTGAAACAAATAGATGCAAATCCATTATCACTTCTGAAAAAATAATTAAATATGCAAAATGAGTAAATACTATTATGATTATATACATTCTTGGAACCACATTTATCCACCAACCTGCGTTTGTATTAATCTACTGTGCCCTCTCTCCTATTTCTATAGAAAATCTGCTATGATTATTTAGTTTCTATGTTGAATTTCATCTCCTCTCATCTCCTAATTTACATGTGAACAGAAAATGGATGTATTTTCAAAGTTTAGTGTCTAAAATTTGCTGGTTATCTAAATGTGCAATAAATCACATATTAATCTGAAGTTTTATTTTTGGTTTTGGACTCATGAATTGGAAGGTTGGAGTTATTGTGTTTATTGTGTTTGTATGGGTAGTAGAAGAGGATTTAGAAGGAAAGATCAGGAGTTCCAACATCAATATTTTAAGGTTGAAATGCCTAGTAGACACCTCCATAAAATGTTTCTAAGTAGTTATAGTCATCTACCATTTAGAAAAACGGACATATAAATACTACCTGTATGACTCTGAGCACACAGGTAGTATTTTAAGCTATGGGGCATGATAAGATTACTCAAGTAGTAAGCACAGTAAGAAAAGAAAGGAATTTCTTGGATATGTCAAGGTTGAAAGCTTGGGAATGAAGAGGAACAGGAAAGGAGGAGAATGATTAGCTGATGAAGCAGTGGAAATTCTAAGTTAATGAACCGTTTCAAAGGTAATGTAGTTATCAACTTGCCAAATGTTGTTGATTGATTTAATGAAAGCTGAGACTTGACCATTTAGTTTACCAATGTTTAAATTATTGGCTACCACGGTAAAAATCACACCAAGTCCAAGTCAACTGTCTTCTGGCAGGGCATATCTGCAGAAACAGTTCTGCATAAATCTTTGAATAGGGCTGCTATACCACTAATAGCCTTTCTGATTCTACTCTCACCCTCTCCTGTCTATAGTCAACACACTAACTCAAATAATACTTCTGAAATGTAGCTCAAAAGATCTCACACCCTTGTTCAAAGATCTACCACAAGCTTAATGTTAACTGACCACAACATTTCCCCTTCCTTTATCACCTGCTATAGTCAAAATAGCTTCCTGCTGTTAGTAAACTTGCTGCACATGCATCTGCCTTGGTACACTTGCCTGAGCCATTCTCATTATGGGAGCATCTTCTGAGAGGTACCTTTTTGACTAACTAGTCACATCCTGCACTTCTCTGCTCAAATCTTCTCTCTTCAACAGTGTCTGCACCAACCTTGCCCCACCTCTACACTGGTATTTCACATCTCTCTTACCTTATTCTATCCTTTAATTCCCTTTTATACATGTTGTATAATGTATTTGTTTATTATGAGTATTTTTCAGTGCCTTCTCCCTCTTGAATATCAATTCCCAAACAGTGAGGGCCTATATCTAATTTATTTACTGATGTATTCCAAGTGGCTAGAAAATTGCCCGGCATGTACAAAATACTCAGTAAAATTTACTGCATTCAAGAATACTGTTGGTCATGTAATTTCCCTTTGCTGTGCAGGGGTTTTTGGCCTGCCTGACTCTTATATTTCGATCAAGGGTCTATATTTCAGGAAATGCTGCATGGTTTAGACCCTCTTTCTAGAAATCCCACATTTAGAAGTAACCAATTCTTTCTGCAAGTTTCTTTCCCCAAAGAAAATTGGGGAAATTGGTCAGGGGCAGATGTCCTGAAGTGTTTTTTGTTTAATTTATTTAATTTCCTTATGGAAAAAGTTTGCTGTTGTTGAGTTTTGTTGTTGTTGTTTTGTTTTTAGGAGATAGGGTCTCACTCTTTGCCCAGGCTAGCGTGCAGTGGAACCATCATTGCTCACTGCAGCCTCAAACTCTTAACGTGAAGCAATTACTCCTGGGCCACCTGAGTAGCTGGGACCACAGACATGCAACACTACACCCAGCTAACTGTTTTTTAAAGAGATGGGGTCTGGCTATTAGAATAGTACCCGTATTCAACACAAAAACTGGATTTTTCTATGAACCATTAGTACTGTTTTATACATTACCACACTTGATGATATGAATTATTAAGAGACTCATGTAAATATTATTCCTGTTTATGTTACCCAGGTTGGTCTCAAACTCCTGGTCTCAAGTCATCCTCCTGCCTCGGCCTCCCAAAGTGTTGGGATTACAGACATGAGCTACAAAGCCCTGATGCATCAGTTTTTTAATGCTTAGAAGTACATTTTGAAGCTTGTAAGATCTATATGAATGTTAGTTATTCTCAACAACTATTATCTGTTAAGTACAATATATAACTTGAATGGGCTTTGAAAAAATTAAATGAGACTATTTACCAAACAGTTATTTCAAATAAACTGTTTGAAATTTTTTCTCTTCTATCTACATTTTTAATGTTAGTTGGACAAAATCAGTATGATGTGATTCAAATGCTCTATCCAACCAACAAATATTCTGCATACTTGAACTAATTTTTTGATTCTCTGCTATTTCAAGATTTTTTCCTGAATGATGTCATCAATTGATATGAATTGAAGTATTTTATTATCACAGTAATAATGACTCCCAAAAATATAGGTCCAGAACAGAACATTCTTCCACACACAGGCCTGCACATTCAATTTTGCACTGACATTTCCCTGTGGATTCCTCAAATATCTCTCAAAATGACCTTGCCCAAAACTCTATCTTAATTCTATTTTTCTCCATCCAAACTTACTCCTTCAATTCAATCTTTACTATCTCAATAAAGAACATTGCAGTCCTCTTAGTTACTGAAACTTGAAACCTAAGAAATAATCCATAATTTTCCATTCCCTTCATAACATTCCTCCCAACTTATCATTCAACAGTCCCTAACAGTTTCATCTTCTAAATGCAGCAATACAATATTCTGCTGTTCTTATTCTCATTTTCTTTCATCTCCACTGGCCACACCTAGTCTTAGCTGTAAATCATCCTTCGCCGCTATTAATTTATCACTCTTATAAATGGATTAATTGCTTTACTTATATCCAGTCATTTATTCTCTAATTTACAGAACAGTAACACTCCTAAAAGTGTGGATCTGATCACAGCATTCTGCTTCTTGAACTATTTCGACGGTTTCTCATTTCATCTAGAATAAACTTGTGCTTTTTTTGCATGGCCCCATCTACCCAAGCTCTCTCATGTCTCTTCACATTACTCTGCTCTAGCCACAAAAGACTGTTTTCAATTCTTCATACACACAGAGTTCTTTTCTTCTTCCTGGCCCTTTCACATGGTGTTTCCTCAGCCAGTAATGCTCCATCTCCCCAGTCCTCACGTGACCAGCATCTCTCTCCTTAAGTCTTAGAATAAATGGCATCTCTTCATCAAGAGATCTTTCCCACCAGCCTATCTAGAGTAGCTCTTGCCCCTTCCACCACCATTATTCTTCATCTCAGCTCTTTATGTGTTTCCTTTAAAGCATTAATCCAAGAAGCAAAATACATGATTGTTCTATTCCCTCAAGGGGACAGGAAATGTGAGACACCTTTCTAATAGAATGTAACCTCTATGAGAGAAAGAACCAAGATTCTGTTGTCCTGGCAGAATGCTTAGCAAAATGCTTTCTGCACAGTAGGCACTAAACGCATGTTAATTTAAAAAATTATAACTTATATTTTAAAAGCTCGTTAATGTATTTTCTTGTATTTTTATAAAACACACTGTTTAAAGCATAAAGTTGATTTAAGAAATAAAGTAATAGCATTTAAAAGTATGTATATTTAAATGTTATTTGGTCTATGAATTATTTTATTCCATCCATATAACTATGGATACAATGGCATAAATAGAATTAATGAAATGATACATATAAACCATAATTTGAATGTTTTCACTTAATCAGAATTACACAATTAAAATATAAATATTTTTATCTAATGTCATACACTTCACTGCCTTTACTGAAATAAAAATAGTGCTTGAAGCAGAATAACAGACTGTCTTACATCTGTGAATTTTCAAGTTTTGACCAATATCTGTCTGGCTTGAGGCTGTTGGACATCTGGTAAGTTTCACTCCTGTATTTTGGCATATATTTATTTGCTATATTTGGGGGAAAATAATGTCTGCAAAGTGTGGCTGGAATGTTTGTGAAAAATTCAGCCTTGAATATTTTAACTCTTTTACTAGTTTGCTAATTTACTTTTTTTCTGTTAAATTGATGAGGATAAAGATGAAATTAAAACCATTGTTATAACTAATACCAAAATATTGGCAAAGTGTTTTGTAAACAGACAATTTCAAAACTTAAAAAGTAATTAGCATACTATGTGATTTAAATTGGTAACTTTCTGTACTTTTGATGTTTTATTGTTATATCATATTTCCTTTTAATGAATACAAGATGGAAAGAGTAACAAAAGGAAGATTTACATTTAGCTTCAATATCACAAATTGAGTAATCCTCCCTCCCACTTTAGTTTTTCTTTTGATTTCATCTTTAATGTATATATTACTATGCCATATACAGCACTAAGCATAGCCTCTTCTCTCAAGAAATTTACAATTTTGTTAAAGATGAGGCCTATGTAGATGTAACTAAAAAGACAATTCACTAGGTGATAAATGCCTGGGAAGTCATCACTCCTCACAGTCCTGACAGCGCTACTAGGTCCAATATGACACAGAACCAAAGCCTTGAGTAATTCCATGAAACATGCGAGATCTCCCATTTCATGAGCATGCCAGCTGATGCATGCAAAAATTGTCTTAATGAGTGTGCCCAAACTTCCCCATTAACACCCATTGTCTAACCTAATTATTAACAATACATTTTCCATTCCCAAAATAACTAGTTTAAATGATTTGTTCCTCCTATTTAACCATGAGCACCATGGTTGCAGGTGCAAAATTTGTTTAAATTGCCCTGTGTTTTCCCTTTTCCTACCACTCCATGAAACATATGCATCCTATTCCCCTACTCCAGCTATTATCACCCATCATCTCTAGGTTAACCAAGGTGCAAACTGGCATTGAGAAATTTATTTCAGAAATTCACTCTTTATGTATTAAAGGGAATCTTCTAGTACCAACAACCAAGACCCAGGCGCATAATTGTAACTTTTATATAAATCCAACCTTTGAAAGCAATTTTTCATGCCTAGTCATAGAGCCTAAAATGACTTCTTCAAGCTGCACTCTCACTATCCTGGTAATATACAATCACAACTCTAGGATTATCATAATTGGTATGGCCTAACTGGATTCACCATATGCCTCCTCATCCTTCTGAATCATGCCATATTTCTAAGCTCATCTGGTGCATGTGAGCGCCACTGAGCCATGTGCTCACACATCATGCAAGCTTCTCAACTATGACCATAGCTCTTCGTCCAAAAAAACGTTAAGTTCTCTCCACACTTACGAGGCCCTAAGTCACATTGTGAAAGTTTTTAGACCAGCCACTATAAATCCTTATTGTCATATTTTACACAGAAGTACCAGGACCAGGACTTCGGTATTCTGTGAACAAAACAGGTCCATTATAAGATCTTTGTTTTCGTTATTAGAAGTTTCTCAATATATTGCCCTACCCTCCTTCCTCTCCCCTGCCCACACACACAAAACAAATAATGGGCCTAGAGGAAATTTTAAACTCCTTTAAAATTAAAGTGTTTGGGAATACAGGACCAGTGCCTTTGTTCACAATCCTTTTGAATTCCTTTTCAAATATCTAAATGCAAATTTCTATTACTAGTCTGTTTATCTATCAAATTATATATTTATCTATCTAAATACGCAGCTCCATCATGGTTACCATGGTGATTAATCTTTGTTTCTGGGCATGACTGAGAACAGGAGGAAGGACTCAGCATTTCAAAAAAAAAAAAAAATATGCAGGAGCTCAGGACTGCCCAGATAAACACTTAAGCCCTGCCACAGATGCCCTAGTGATGGCTGTCACTTTTGTATAGCCCCAAGGCAAATGCACCTTTATTCGTTGGGATTTCCATTAAAAAGAAAATTTACTTATTCTCCTTTTACAACTTCAACTATGGACCAAATTCCTTTGTTACACTGCTTGATGAATGTCATTTTTACCTTTTTCAATGCTGAAGGGTATTTTTTTCTGAGGAAACCATCATCATCGCAAATGCCATTGGACCAGTTCAAGTAACTTCTCAGGTTTTTTGAGACACCCTGGAAAGTCATCAAACTAAGGCACCAAACTAAAAAACACACACACCATTCAAATATGCAACTTTTCCAAAGATTTCCTGAAAATCGAAATTTCTGTGCCTGTTATTTAACTTATATTATTTCCTTTCTTGTTCTATGTGGCTGTATGTATGTATGTATGTAGGTAAGCAAGGAGTCACACACTAAAATCGGTTTGTTTCTGGATATTAGTGACATACCAGAATTCTTTCATTTTTTAAAATTTATATATTTTAAATTTGTGAAAATCTTCTATAGCTAATATGCATTACCAATTTCTTAAAATGTTAAATATAAATATTTCTAGAATAAATACAAATTAATATGATAGTTAATATTATGTATCAACTTGGCCAGTCCACGGTACATAGATATTTGGCCAAATATCAGCCTGGATGTTGCTGTGAACCTACTTTTAGGATGTGATTAACATTTAAATCAATAGAATTTAAGTAAATAGATTAATCTCAGTAATGTGAGTGTATTAGTCCATTCCTGAATTTCTATAAAGAACTACCTGAGACTAAGCAATTTATAAAGAAAAAAGGTTTAATTACTCAACGGTTCCACAGGCTGTATAGGAAGCATGGCTGGTGGCCTCAGGAAACTTATGATCATGGCGGAAGGCAAAAAAGAAGCAAACACATCTTATGTGGCCAGAGAAGGAGGAAGACAGTGAAGGGGAATGTGTCACACACTTTTAAACAACCAGATCTCGTGAGAACTCACTCACTATCATGAGAATAGCAAGGGGGAAATCCACCCCCATGATTCAATCGCCTCCCACCAGGTCCGTCCTCCAATATTGGGGATTACAATTCAACATGAGATTTAGACAGGAACACAAATCCAAACCATATCAGGTGAGCCTCATCCAATGAGTTGAATATCTTAAGAGAAAAAGACTGAGCTTGCCCCAGGAAGAGGGAATTCTGTCAGCAGCCTGCCTTTTGATTCAAGCTACAATGTTTCCCCTGGAGCTCCAGCCCTCTGGCTTGCTCTGCAATTTTCAGTCTTGCCAGCCAGCTGGCAAAATTACATGAGTTAATTTTTTTAAAACAAATCTTCCTCTTTCTTTCTCTCCATATGTATGTGTGTGTGTGTGTGTGTGTGTGTGTGTGTCCCAGACCAATCCTGTCCCCCACACACATATCCTATTGTTGTTTTTGTCTCCCTGGAGAATCCTGGCAAATACATCAATAATAGAAAACTTAATATATATCTATTTTACATACATACTTATGAAAAGGTATGCTAGAATAGAAACCTCACTAAAGAACAGTAGAAGGTAAAAGGTCATAGAAAAAATAGAGTAAGTAATTAATTTAATTACCTGACTTAATTCGTTAATTACAATGACTAAAATGAGTTAGAGTACAGATTGATTAGTGTATAATTTTTTTGAAAGCGTTCTCTTGCCACTAATATGAACTAAGCTATTGCAGTGAAATGTTATTTGCTTTGAGACCCCTAATTAATTCTCACTATTTGAAATTATTCTTTTAACATTTCCCAGAATAGTAAAAAAAAAAAAAAGTAAGACAGTAGAAAAACACTCGTATGCAATCATATGCCACTTTTTTCAACCAACAGGAGCTAGATAGAATATAAAGAATAAAAAAATGGAAACAAATCACCTTAGTCCATTTCCAAAAAAGACTTTCTGGTTAACGACCTCAAGTAATGCTTATTTAGATTTGGACAAAAAACAATGTTTCAGGGGAAAGATGGTGATTAATTCTTCTGAAGCCCCTCTTGAACCTTCCAATTAACAGATTTATTTTTACAATACGATCAAGTTCTACAAGGACAAGCATACAGTCATACCAAATAGAGAGTTGAACACAGAGGTCTAACTTATAAAAGGCTGAGTTTGAGTGCAAATATGGTTGACTGTTAAATAGAAAATCGTTCTATTTGAGTCTTTATTTCTGGTTTGCACAGAGATTTTATTTGATGTAGATAATATAGAATAGTTGTGTCTTCATGATAAATTAAAATGATCTGAAGCAGATGTTCTTTAGACAAGGTTAAACCCAGTTCACTATTACCTGCCAACTGGAAATAACTTTATGGGGTTAAAAGACAGCATCTCTATCCACAGTGAGGTAGCTCTCTCTAAATACAGGGACTAGAAAGACTGCCCTAGACATGCTAAATATTTGTATTCATAAAGAAGCCCAGTCATACATTCAGACTCCAGAGATTTTAACAAAGACAGAGGAAAACAACACAGAATAAAGAATAAAATAAAATGTCCAGACTCAAGTTACCTATGTTTAAATGAGATTCTGTTATATTACTTATTTCAGAAGTTTTAAGGTAGGTTAGTATAAACAAGAAAACAAATATTTAAGCCAAAAATAATAACAAAGACAAAAAAGATCCTTGATATTGCTATTGTCTATAAACAACAAAATTACCTACTAATTCATCCAAAGTCTATATCTGTTCAGAGCATACAGTTTAATGTATTCAAATTTCTATATCTTCTTCACAGTTGTAAAATATTAAAAGTCATGATTTCATTAATTATGACAATATTAAGGAACAGATTGGATGTAGCTAATATATGTGCAACATAGGCTATGTCCACATCTTTAATATTTTAAAATAGTTTGTGTAAAGACACAAAAATGATTAGAATAAATTTTAATTGCTTTGGAGTTTATATCCGATATGTTAATTATATCTAGTATAGGAATGTGAAAAAAGTTCGCAAAGTCTCTTTAAAAAGATGCTTTATTTCACCAGCATTGGAGCATCCTCTACTAGTCATCTCCATGAGCAGGGGATTAGGGTGGTTCTAAAGGTGTCACATCTGTCTACTCATCTGGCTGCATCTGCTTTCAGAAAAAAATGTCCTCTCCTCTTCTGCCTCCCAAATCTTGAGAAAGTGGCTGCATTGGAAAACACTAACCCAGGTCCATACAAGGACAGGATTCTGGGAAATGTACCTCTTAGATTCTTCTCTATGATGCCTAAGACACTAAAGAGGGTCTGATAGTCATGCTAGGATGGTAAGAGAAAACTCAGCATAGCTTGTCAGGTGTGAATCCACACACAAATTTTACTCATATTCAAGGTCCCTAATAAAGACAATAGCAATGTATTGCAACCACCTAATATGGTATAAGTACTGTTCACATAACTAAAGACCGATTGCTGCAAAAAACAATGCAAACACCCCCATATCACACTTTACCCATCCTGGAGGAATTTTTTTTTTAATTTAGCCACAAACCTCTTTCAAACTCTGCCATTAGATGATATTTAATAGTAACTATAAATATGTTTAACCACTATTAATGTAAGCACTTTAGATGGCAGAGTAATAGGAACAAGAAAAAAAGTGCTTGTAAAGACACCTAACTCTTCCAGTCCTCATTCACTCATACCTTTTGCAAAATCTGGTCAAATGGTCAAATTTTGGTACTTGCCATTTCATTCTTCTGCTACCTATTCCATATTCTTTTTGCCTTTACCCACAATTCACCTGACAGGTAAATCATTGAGAACCAGACTTCAATTATTAGAGAGTCTAAAGTATCAGTAATCACACCTGCATGTGTTAGTGATCTATTTTACTAGACATGAAATTACTACTTGCTACTCGTCCCCCAATGAATCCTCAGTCCAGAGTAAATTCATATATAATCTCAGTGTGTGATAGTAAACCAATTCCCACCCCTCTAATAGTCAGAATCAAATGTTACAATTAATTCAGTCATCTCCTTTATTTTCCTTTTCGTTGAGTGGCACAAAAGCACTAATTGTCCATGTGGCAATGTCAACTTCCAGTTCTGTGAGCACTTTTTGTGTCCCCTGGTGACAGCTCTTCTTCTTTGGGAGCTAAGACACCTAAATCAGCAAATCCCAATGTCTCATACAAGTGATTCTGAAGTAACTCATGCCTTGGTCAACATGTAGTAATAAGGACGAGAAATAACCCCAGATAAAGAGGAATCGTGTTCTAACATCATCATCAGAGAGTGTCAGTTAACTCCTCACAAATACATTCAAACTTTAAAATACAAACTATCAAATATGACTGCGGATGTGATACAAAACTTAAAACAATGGGAGTGAAAATAATCAATAAAAAAGCTAGCCGAAAGAAAATAATTCATCTGACCTATTTTTAGAAAAGTGGAATGGAGCGGTAAGAACATCATTAGCATCCAGTCTTTGAGAACCACCCGCTTCCCCACTGCTCGCGGAGATAGTCGGTAGAGGATGCCGTGAGATGCTTGTGAAGTGCAGTATCTTTTTCAAGAGAATTTGAGAACTTCTTTTTTTGACTTCCCATAATAGATATAATTAATATCTTGGATATAAACTCGATAGCAATTAAAGTTTATTCTCATTCATCCTTGCACCTATATCTGCTCTGGAAAGGGGATTCACGTGCCTTCATTGGATTCTCTCACAGAGAATTCTAATGATGTACTCTTAAATGCCTGCATCTCCTACCTGAAATAGCCCAGCCTAAATCGCCAAATTCACCTTGTGCTTAAGTATGATATGAACACATTTCCATACTAAATATGTCTCCAACACCCAGCCACGCTTCCAGTTGAAAGCCCTGAATATTATTTTATAGCATTTGAGAAACTTGCCCAAGCTCGCAGCCTGGATTATTCTTTCTTATGATGATAAAATGCTTTAATATAAATAATTACTATTTTGATCTTTTACAGTCTCCCTGAACACCCTTTTGGAAATTGTTCTCTCATCTATGTTCTTCTCTCTCATAGAGGACATGCCTTTTGTAGTGAGCTAAATGGTGGCACCCAAAAACATATTTTTATATTCTAATCCCCAATGTGAATGTGAATTCATTTGGGGGAAAAAAGTCTTTACAAATGTAATTAAGTTAAGAATCTAGAGATGAGATCATTCTGCTTTATCCTGGTGATCCCTAAATGCAATGACAAGTATCCTTATTAGACAAACACAGGGAAGAGAAGAGATCCATGAGAAGATGGAGACAGAAACTGGAGTTATGCAGCCACAATCTAAGGAAGACCTGGAACCACCAGAAACTGCAAGAGTCAAGGAAGGGTTCTCCCATAGAGCCTCTGGAAAGAACCTGGCCTTGGCCAACCTTGATTCCAGACTTCTGGCCTTCAGAATGGTAAAATAATAAATTTCTGTTGTTTTACGCTGTAGAGTTTGTGGTAAATTGTTGTGGCAGCCCTAATAAAAGTAATATACCATTTCTTGTTCTTTTCTGTCAATGAACAAAATGTCCTACTATTACCGGGGATACTGCCTTGGGGTGGACCCTTCAACAGAGGAGATCAACAAAGCTGGAGCTTTTGGACCAGCAATCTCTGTTCCTGTGATAGTGAGCAAAGAATTACAAACTAGCACCAAAATGCAAGCATAAAGCAAAGTTTATTGAAGTATAGTAATACATTCTCAAAGGGAGAGCAGGCTGATTTCTGTGAAGTGAAATCAGCAACTCTTTATAGAGCTCAGGGTGTTAATACTTTTATGGGGTTTGTGGGGAGGAGTTGAAGCTTGGGCCATGTTTGAGTGACAGGATGATGTCATTTGATTGGTAGTTTATGTTACATAACTAAAATTAAACTGTTCGCATTTTTACCCATAATTTGTTAATAAAAGTCTACTCAGGGATTGAAAACCACATGTAAATTTTATTAAATGACTGTGTAATGAGGATGGAGTTACCCAGGGTTACGGCCTAGATGGACTGGGCATGTGCCACTGTACGGGATTTTTATCTGTGCCTCAGTTTTTCTTTCTCCAGGATGTGCTGGCCACAGACTTTACCACAAACTCCATCCATTAGGGTGGAGTTTGGGCGGTCTTGGTGCTGAACTTAACGTGGGCCAGGGCCTGTCTTAGTGACAGGCCTTCCGTTCTTTCTCTTACCTCCTCCCATCTACTAACGTCAGTCTAACTAGCTAACACTACTATTTTTCATTTACTCGCTTATTTTCTGACTACCCTGTGCCATCTCTCCTAAATGAGGAGAAACATGTATTCTACATAAATTATAGACTCAATAGGTACTTGTTGTCTTTATTAATATTGATTCATAACTATAAAAATGTTGCAAATTTGTAACCAAAACCCAATGAAGAAATGGAACCCGACTATTCCTCCCATTAGAGTAATCAATTCTTGGACTTCTAACACCATAGAGTCATTTGGAATGTTCCCATTTTAAAGATGCAGAAACCAAAGCTGCTTTCTTCCGACCCCACCTCTGTGTTTTCACAGACTTTCAACTATTTCGGGGGCACTGGCAGAAGAAATGAATACTTACTGGCATGGGTCCTGAACATTATGGAGGTGAAATGGAGAGGGGAAGGGCATATAGATTTAACTGAGTTATTGTGAAATAGATCAGTTGGGAAGGTGTTAAACTGAAATTTAAAGTTCCTTTCTTTGTTTTCAGATTTCACTGAGACCCTTCATCAGTCTGGCCTGTTGGGCTTCCCTTATGTCACTCCGAATGTCCACATCTCCTTAGCCCTAGCCATCATTATGGTCCACACCAAAGCTCTATCTGTTTGATATAAATGTTAATACTTGATAATGATGTTATAATTTGATAATGATATTATCAAATTAATATTAAGTTATTTAGGCAATATAAATGTCCAGAGAGGGAATGAACTTCTTAAAAATGTCTCAGGTAATCTTCTAAAAAATCTAGCTAGTTCCTAATTCACATGTGAAACATTCTAGCCCATAATTTTCCAGTTACCCAATATTAAATCTCAATATTAAATTTCTATCAGATCAATAATTTCAAAGCAAACGATTAAATTTTACATGATAAAACATGAATCCAAACCTGTTTTTCCAAACAAGTTAGTGAATAACTGTCCAAATTCAAATGGCTGGATTATCAATTCATTGCTCTTAGCCAATTTGTCTCTCTTTTGAAATCCAGGCCTTTCTTGGCCCCTAGGCAAAGATGGAGCAGCTGTTGATGCAAGGTGTTGTCCAGCTGGGAGAAAATTGAAACTGTTACAGTTTCTGTACTGTCCATGAAGTTTTTTACATCACAAGAATTAGATAGTCATCTGGAAGAAACTGCAGCAGTGAATTCTAATTTTAAAGAAATATAAATATCTTCTGTAATTTTTCATTTTTCAACAATAGGATTGTGTACACGTAGCCTTAAAATTTAAGAATATTAATAATTTTTATATTTTGATTTGTTGTGAAAGGATACTAATTTATAACAATTTTAAGTAAATCCTATTGGTATTTTATAAAATACCATTTTAAAGAGATGACGTTTGATTTTCTATCAAAAATTTAACTATGTTTAGAAAGTAGCAACCCTAATGAAGCACAGTCATAGTTATGAAAAATGAAGCACTTAGAACTTTTACTTAGAGTTTAGACAGATTTTTGAGCATGCTTTATTCTTGAGATAAATTATAATACTTTCTCCCTAAAGATTATGTAAAATCTGATTATTATATGTAATACATGTTTATTCAGAATTCTTTGTAAACTTTACCTACTTTTAAATGTGATGTATGAAAAAAAGAATAAAATATACAAAAACATCCAAGGGTTCTTTTAAGTTGCCTTAAGCGTTTAAAACTTTAAGAACATATTCCCCTTCATTTTGCTCACCAATTACTCTTTACTAGGAATTAATCCGCTAAAACAGAAAAAGAAATATTAAAGATCCCCAAATTACATAGTATTCAAAGCATTCAAGATTCTGATATTACCTCTAGGAGCAAGAGATAAAATCAGTTATCTTTTATCATCATAAATAATTCTGTCAGTAAAATCTTTCCCAGAAACTCCCCATCAAAATATCTGGTACAGAAATTGCTGTGAATGTGTGTATTTTTTCATATATATATATATATATAAATAATAAAAGAAACTATTTTTTCATTTCTATACTGATTATTAATGGAGGTCATAAAATATTTATTTTCCAAACTAACAAATTGTCATTTCAAATTTAGGAATTCTTGGAATGAAATATTTTGTTGGTAGAAACAAATGCATGCATGACCCAAAATTGGTACTATAATTTATTGAATCTAGAATATTGGATGGTTTAAAATTCATTGTGACAAACATTGCATATGATTAATTTAAAGAAACAGACTGTTTAGTAATTCTTCTATAGTTTACATTAGTAGTTCTTAATATGTCATGAAATTATGAAATAGTCATTGTATACTTTACCATCACAAACTCACAGCTGAAAAAGAATCAATTTCTCTTAAAAATGTCTTTGATAGGCCAGGCACAGTGGCTCACACCTCTAATCCCAGCACTTTGGGAGGCTGAGGCGAGTGGATAACCTGAGGTCAGGAGTTCAAGACCAGCCTCGCCAACATGGTGAAACCCTGTCTCTATTAAAAATAAAAATAAAAAATTAGTTGGGCGTGGTGGTAGGCACCTGTAATCCTAGCTATTCAGGAGGCTGAGGCAGGAGAATCGCTTGAACCTGGGAGGCAGAGGTTGCAGTGAGCTGAGATCATGCCACTGTACTCCAGCCTGGGCAACAGAGCGAGACCCCATGTCAAAAAAAAAAAAATATATATATATATATATACACACACACACACACACACACAAACATATGTGTTAACAAAATAATACATGAAAATCAAGAACCTCTTGATGTTACAAATACAAGTATTGTGTAATATAAAGATCAGAAAAATTACATATTTTTGATTCTGATCTGGTTAGTGATAATTTGAGAAAATTCTTCCCTCTTGCTTACTTGAAATACTTCTCAGATTTGTTTCATACATACTCTTTCAGAATGAAATCCAATATTTTACCATGAAACACTTTTTAACATGAGTTTCCTATCTGTTCTTTAACATTTATTTCCTTAACTTTCTAATTGTTTCATTATCCTTTAATCAAGTTATTTCAGGGAGAAAAATAACTTTCACTAGTGAGTCCTGTACTTACTCTTCTACAGTGCCAATTATTTTTCATTTTTTTAATTGATACTTTGTATCTTTCCAAGTATAAAGTTCAATGACAACTTGTGGATTTTTCAAATTTAGTTATTATGTATTGACTTCCCAATATGGAAATAAGTATTCGGCTTTCTTATGTCATCACAACTTACTACATGGGTACACTCTTGCCATTGTTTGAGGCACTCAATATTTTTATCATAGCTTTAAATCAATATGCTGTTTTAACATTTTATCACTAAATTGAATTTAGCCATGTATGCAATCATAATTACCTTTTCTTTTGTATGCATGATTTGTTTTCTCTGTGTAGTTTTTGTCTTATGTTTGTTCACTTTGCTTGCTCTATTCTTATCACTAGTCCAACCTCACAGATGACAAAAACATTCATTTATTATGTGGTAACTAAAAACCTCAGATATTCTATTAGTTTTTTGTCTTAGGGGTATCTCTCAGAGATTGTGATCTGCTTCATTGTGGACTGGTGCATCACCCAGAATGAGATTTTCCTTCTCCATAATTTTGTAAATTACTTTTCTTATCTTCCAGAGTAAACGTTACATGTCCTGCCTCAAATTTCTTACTCCATTATTTTTGGTAAGCTAAAGTTTTCTAACTGTGTACCTCAGATATATATATATATATTCTATCTGGGCACTAGCTAGAGAGTTTGATTGCGTATAGAATAAGAGATAGGGAGTAATTTTAATGATATTAAGGTTATGGTTGCATTGACTTCTCTTTTTTAATGTTACATTTGAAAAGCCTGGTGCAATCCTAATTCTTCATCCTCTATCCCTTTAATACAACTCATTTGCTTAGAAAACTTACAGGGTTTTCTTCTTCTCCTAAGTTTCTTCTAAATTTTCAAAATAATGTATCTTCTATTTGAAAAAGTAAACAATAAAGGAATAAGATTCTTTTAAAAAATTTAATTTTAATTTAAGTTCCAGGATATATGTGCAGGATGTGCAGGTTTTTTACATAGGTAAAGGTGTGCCATGGTGGTTTGCTGCACCTATCAACCCATCACCTAGGTATTAAGCCCAGCATGCATTAGCTATTTATCTTGATACTTTCCCAAGAAGGCCACAGTGTGCATTGTCCCCCTCACCGTGTCCATATGAATGTAAATCCACTATGTGTTCCTATGCATAGCCTGGCTTTGCCTCTGTTGAACAAGATAATGGAGAACTGTGCACATGACATGCTGGCCTTTGGCTTTAAGTTTCTCCAGTAAACTCCATTCATTTTATTCTCCCTCCAAAAAATAGTGGATGTTGGTTGGGTGCGATGGCTCATGCCTGTAATCCCAGCCCTTTGGGAGGCCAAGGCAGGTGGATCATGAGGTCTGGAGATCGAGACCATCCTGGCTAACATGATGAAATCCCGTCTCTACTAAAAATACAAAAAATTAACTGGGCATGGTGGTGCTTGCCTATAGTCTCAGCTACTCGGGAGGCTGAGGCAGGAGACTCGCTTGAACCTGGTGGCAGAGGTTGCAGTGAGCCAAGACTGCGCCATTGCACTCCAGCCTGGGTGACAGTGTGAGACTCCGTCTCAAAGGAAAAAAAAAAAGGTGGGCTTTGTTTTGCTTAATTTCATCAACTTATCCTTCATTGGACATCTTTATCCTAGAAAACCATTTCTTTTATTTCTAGAATTAAAAATTTTTTTTCATTAAAAATCTCCTTGCAACTTTTTCAGTTTTATTTCTGGAACTTTGATTTCCTGATTATTGGAATTTGTGGACAAGGCCTCTAATATTCTTAAATGTTATTTTCTATTTTCCATCTCTTTTTATTTTTGCTTTTATTTCCTCAATTTTATTTTTCTTTCCTGTTCTACTGTCCTGCACAAAAATTCTATTAATTTTTTCTGTTAATTTTTCTTTTTCATTTTTGAGAGTTTTGTTTTCTACATTTTCCCAATTTTTAATAATATACTAATCTTGCTTTATTATTCTAAAATCTTCTCATATCTTGACAATATTTTTTATTTTAATTTTTCCCTTTCTGTATTGATTTTGTTGCATACCCATTTATTTCTTGTTTTCATCTCTAACTTTCATGGTAGATTCTTTCTTAAGATGTCAGCTTGCCTTTGGTATTATTTTCCTAGTTTGCCCTACAGAGTTGAATATTTTGATTGGAAGCCTTCAGTATATGGATATGGCTTTTAAAATTTGAATTTCATTGTCAGATAACCTGGAAGGATTCATTCATTAGACGTAAGTCATGATTTTTTGTTTTTCCCCTTCATATTTAAAATTTTTACAGTGGAATCTCCCAAAAGTTATCTAACTAGAAGAAAAAAACTGTTGGAATCAGCATCCAGATTGCTGATGGTCACTTAATTCCTTTGTTTTTAGTAATTTATCCTATGGTTTCTTCCCTCAATATAATGAACCTGCAGTCTTTTCCCTAAATATAGAATAGGCAGTTGCTTCTTCTATGCATAAATAATTTAAAATTATCAATGCAACTCTACTATATGTTTTTTCATATTATGTATTTCCTTATCACTTTGTTACTTCAAGGTAGTTAAAATTTAACAATACAAATAAATTTTTTCTTGGAATGATGGCCCAATTATGAATACATAAAGCAAAGCTTGTTCATAATGCTCCAGAATGAAATAAGACCCACTCTCTTGTTGATATTGCACGACAAGAGAAAAAACGACAATCACTGGAGAAGCAAATTTAAAATAAATTTATATTAAATGTGTGGGAGAAAGATATGGGTGATTATATGCAAATATTTGCTTCAAAGGGCTTATGGAAAAGCTTAACAAAACATCTTTGTTTCTGTGAAACTTTAACTTTAGTGCAAGGGTTTTCAAAAAATGCTGAGTGCCAAACCCAGCTAGCTGCCTGTTTTATAAATACCATACAGTGTTCCCTGAATTACAATGGGGTTGATGTCCCAATTAACCCATTGTAACATTATAAATAATTCCAAGGACTATCCGTACATATTTGTTAGAAGACAGCTATGCTGTTATTTACAAATTGTCTATGTCTACTTTTGTGCCACAACGGCAGAGTGAAGTACTTATTACACAGATCATACACGGATATCAAATCATATAATACTAACTGACTTCTTACAGAAAAATTTGCAGACCCCACTTTTAATGAAATATCATTGAAAGGAACACTATATCCTTAGTTGAATATCATGCATATATCAAGATATAAAGATGGGGCCGGGTGCGGTGGCTCACGCCTGTAATCCCAGCTCTTTGGGAGGCTGAGGCAGGAGGATCACCTGAGGTCAGGAGTTTGAGTCCAATGTGGCCAACATGGTGAAACTCCGTCTCTACTAAAAGTACAAAAATTAGCCAGGCATGGTGGTGGATGCCTGTAATCCCAGCTACTCAGGAGGCTGAGGCAGGAGAATCACTTGAACCCGCGAGGCGGAGGTTGCAGTGAGCCAAGATCGCGCCATTGCACTCCAGCCTGGGCAACAACATCAAAACTCTGTCTTAAAAAGAAAAAAATATATGTAAAGACTGAAATGATATGTAATTTGGCCCTAATAATATTATGGACAATTACTTTAATTATAACATAATGTGAAACTTAAATATAAAATTGATAGTGAATATATAGTCTAGCAATATTTTTCGTGAACAATAATTACAAATTGGATCAAAAAAATCTAAAGTTTCTTGTGGAAGCATTTCAGCTAATAGTCTCAAGTAAATAATTAAATTGGTAATTAGTAGAGAATCATTGTCTTTCCAGAGGCACTCTGTGAACGGAGGGTAGACAGACTCCTGCCCAGTAACTCTTAACGACGATTTACTTTCAGAATTGTGTGAGTGCCAGCCTGGGCAACATAACGAGACTCCTACTCTACAAAAAAATTTTAAAAATTAGCTGGGCGTGCTGATGCATGCCTGTAGTACTAGCTGCTCAGGAGACTGGGGTAACAGGGTCCCTTAAGCCCAGAAGTTCAAGGTTACAGTGAACTATGATTGCATGCCAATCTGCGTGCCAGTCTGGATGACAGAGTGAGACCCTGTCTCTAAGGAAAAAACAAAAGAAGTATGTGGGTGTTTGTTTTGTGGCTGTATATGTATGGGTGTGATGATATTGGAGAAGAAAACATTAGTGGCCTATCAATATTGGAACTCTAATTTCTCTGAAAACCTTAATAGTTTACTCAACTGTGGCAGATTCACCTAAAACCTATAACTAAACCATTGGAGAATAGTTTCATTGCCTACAATTTCAAGTCAAAAGTAAGCATTAATGGATAGAAAAGTTAGAGATTGCTTTTAGCATCTTTTAAAATTATTTATTGAACTCATACATAAATATATCTAGCATTAATAGTAGTTACTCAACATTAAAAATAATCTGTGAGTAATAAAATTGAATGCTTTTCAGAAATTATACATGTTTAGTGTATCAAAATATAAAAGTAATTATTTTTGTAATAAAAGTGAAATGATTTCATACAATTCTTATTAGTAGACAAAAATAATTATACTACCTTGAAATTTGAATTACTCAGTTTCTGTGTTTTAATACTATAACCAAATAAAATTTCATTCTATTTTATCCATTTTATGAATGAAGAAAAATCAGTAACATAAAAAACTACAAAACTTAGTGTGGGTATTAAATTTCTTATCACAGGTGTTTCTTTCCTGTCTTAGTTTGTTCCTGCTGTTACAGCAAAATGCCTTAGACTAGGTAATTTTGAAACAACAGAAATTTGTTTTCTCAGCTCTAGAGGCTGAGAAGTCCAAGATGAAGGCACCAATAGATTCTGTGTCTGGCGAGGGCCTGCTTTATGGTTCATAGATGGTTGGTTGCCTTCTCGTTGTGTGCTCATATGGAAGAAGACACATCTCTGGGGTTTCTTTAATAAAAGTGTTAATTATGGAAGGCTCAACTGAATATGAAAGGCTCAACCCCCATGATCTAATTACATCAAAAAGGCCCCACTTCTTAAACAATTACCTTGGATGGTAGAATTTCAACATGTGCATTTGGGGCAAAGACAAAAAATCAAGCTATAGCATTCCACCCACAGCCCTCCAAAACTTATGTCCTTCTTAAATGCAAAATAATACTTTATCCCAGTAACCCAAAATATTAATTCTTTCCTGCATCATCTTTAAAGTCTAACTCTAAAGTATCTTCTAAATATCATCTAAATTAGATATGATCGAGACTCAAGGTATGATTCATTCTGAGGCAAATTGCTCTCTAGTTGTGAACATGTGAAATTAAACATGATATGTGCTTCCAAAATATAATGGTGGGATAGGCATAGCACAGATATTTGCATTCCAAAAGAGAGAATTAGAAAAGAAGAAAGGAGTAACAGATCCTGAGCAAGTCCAAAGACTAAGATTCAAAAATTATCTTCTTTCACTCAATGCTCTGCCCTCTAGGTCCACATGGGTAAGGATACCAACTTTAGGACACACTGGAGTTTTTCCAACACACTGCAACCCTCACCTTTGGCTGGAAGCAGTGGGACTGACTCCTAAGGCTCTGGGCAGCCCACACTCACCTTTGCTGGGTGGAGCCCATGTGTCTCTCAGGGGTTGGAGCTGAGTCCTTGTGTCTCTCTTGGGAAGGAATCACATGCCACTGACAGTGAATCTTCCTTAATATTAAAATTCATTGGTGGTTTTTTTATTAGTGCATAGTCCATTAAAGAAGTGTTGATTAAAGACCCTATAGCCAGAAGCAATTTAAAATATGCCAGGTCCAACAACAATAAATAACTTTGAGGCAATACACAAAGAAAAATATGTCTTGCTTAAAACCACAAGTTTTTCTATTAATTGTGAAAATTGATTATTAGTATAACAAACTATGCTGTATCTTTCCCCAATCATCAGAAAAAAAATTTATTGTTTTATCTATATAAATTATGTATTTCTAAAACCATTACTTTTTTCACAAATAACTGCAATATTCACCTAAAAAAAACCAGAGAGACCATATTTATGAGATATGCCTACTTGTACAAAAGTAGATAATTCAGGGTTATGTGCTCTAATCAGAAGGGCAATGATAGAAGAAATTATTTGATCATTATGCTTTTCCTAAAAATAATTCTCCAATAATATGTTTTCACCTTCTTGAAAGAATGTCCAAAATTAATTCTTACATTTCTATTGTGGCCAAATCATTGTAATGGCTTCTCAGATATTAGGAAGGATGGATACCTTTGGAAATTGGAGGAATCTCCACTGACCCACTCAGAAAACTACAGATTCCTCAGTCCCACAGGACACAGACTAGAATCTTCTCAGAGGCACCTAGACATGGTATCTCCACTATTCATGCAAGTGGTGTCACTTGGGACCATGGGTGAGTGTCAGAGGCTAAGAAAGTGGGGCAGGTAAAACCTTACAGAAACTTTTTCTCCATTCATTTCTTGTGGTTTTTCTTCTGACAGGAGTCCTAGCATGAAGTGTATTTCTTCCACTCCCTCCATTTTGCAGACTAATTATTATGCAGGTCACGTTCCAGTGAGTTCCAAAACCTCAGGAAAAACTGAAAGATTATATTGGCTGTGCAAAAATCTGACTTGAGTATATCATGGAGGACTAACACTTGTCTTCCCTGAGGAACAGAAGGTCACCAGGGATTGACTTCACCGAAGTATTATCTGTAAATAGCTTATGGGATAAGAAGAAAGGAAGAGAATCACTTAGAAGGAAGCTATTGATAAGTCATGAGGCCAGGTTTTGTGCTTTGGGGCTCTGAAATGAAGGTTTCGATGGGGAAACCTCTGAGAATGCAATTTTCTTTGGATTCTCCCGAAGGCCAGGTTTGGCTGCAGCTTTGAACTTCCAGACACTTTTATATATGTACTTTCAGTCCAGCTAATTTTTAGGGCATGAATAAAATATTTCAAATCTTGACTTTTGTGGATTATCAAAATCAATCTTAAGACCTGATTTGCCATTACTTAGGGGTAACATAAAGTTTAATTTTATGCTATTTAATATGTTTAATAACTCAGGTGAAGAACGGAGAGGCACAGTCAAGAAAAAAATATTAAAAATTTACAACACAGAAGAAATTTATAGGTTTTCACTAAAGAGTCATTTCATCCCTTAATGTGATAGTGAGTACTTTCCTTGTATATTTCTTCTAAGAAAAGAAAGCCCATCTTTCCAAAAATTAAAATGATCACATTATGGCTATTCTTTATCTTTATTATAAAACTTTTTATCCATAAAAAAGAAAGTGTGAAATCTAAATGTAAGTTATTTTAGAATTACTTACAACAAAATAAATATCCTGATCCAGTGACACGAAATCAAAAATAAAACGTTACTGACACGATCTTCACCTTTCTGATCCCCATCGTTTTGTCTCCTTCCCTAATGTAGTTATTCTTCTTAGTTTTTACCCTCTCTTTGTGTTTTTCAATTTTATCACATATTTTGTTAGCCCTAAGCAATATATTATTGTTGTTGTATTGACCTTGTTAAAAACTGTTGAGATAAATCTATTTGCTATTTCTTAGGCAGCCAAATGTTCACCCATATTTAGCTATCCTCCTTGCAGTTAGTCAGGACCACTTGACTGTTTTTGATAAATGACTAAAAGGGCATGTATCTCTTCCAGACCAGAGCATAGAAGAGCAGATTCTGAATTATCTACGTGCATTTTCTCATTTTGTAGTAGTAATGGGGATGACATTTTGAGAGGTAAAGCCATACTTGGAGACAGCTGGGATTTCTGAGTCACTACATGTTGAGCAAACATTCTGAGATGTCACTTGACTCACATAGACATCCACATAAGGAGAAATAAATCCTTGTTTTGTTGAATGATTATTATTTCAGGCCACATTTATGTCACAGTCTTTCCACGCTTGTGCAAGTATTATACTAAATACATTTTTCTGAGATTTATTTTTTTCTGCACATTAGTTTCTAGGGTCCACCTACATTGTTATTGCAGCTAACATCTATTCCCTTTCCCTGTTCGATATTATCTTGTTATTATTTTGAATAACACTGCTGTAAACAGCCTTATAATGCCTGCTGGTGCCCATGTACATCTGGGAATGGTATTGTTGGGTTATAGGGTATGGAAATGGTCAATACTATTACATTGTGTCTCAGTGTTTTCTTAAAGGGTTATAACAATTCATTTTCATACCAGTTATGCTTAAGTGTCCCCTTTTGCTTCAGATTCTTACCAATAATAAGATTGTAGATGTTTTGATGAAGTACATGTAAAAATACTATCTCCCATGATTTTAGTTTTCATTTTCTTCGTTACTAATGAAGCTGAGTATGTTTTCAGATGTTCAATTATGATGCTTATATGAAACACTCATTTATGTAATTTGATCATTTTTCTATTGGATTATTTTTTCTTATTGATTTTAATACTCTTTATATATTCTGAATGCCAATCCTTCCTTGACTAAGTGTTTAACCAGTGTCTTGTCCTAATTTATAGCGTGTGTTTTCATTTTATTTACTGTATTGTTTGATTTCAAAAAAATCTTGCAGTAGCTGACTGTATCAATATTTTCCTGTGTATTTGTGCTTTTTATGTTGATTTAAATAAAATGCTTCCTTATTCAAGGATATAAAAATATCTTTGTATACTTTCACATGTCTTAATGTCTTGCTTTTCATATTACATCTTTAATTTCTGTGGTGTTAATTGTTGTCTATGATGTCAATGATACTTTGCCTATTTAGATAATTTATTTTCTCATTTTTATTTTTTATTACTGCAGAATCTACCATGCTGCATTTACTCTAAATGCAGCATCTATCTCATATCAACATTTTCATAAACACAGACCTCCATTTGGTCTGTTTATTTTTCTTTGTGTTATTACTCAGCCTCCTTAATTACTATAGATTTATCCTGGACATGTAGCAGGACAAATTTATCTAGTGTTATTACTGAAACATTTTTGAGCAAGTCTTTGCTCTTGCTCTTCCTCTTTATATAACTTTTAGAATCAGATTGGCATTACATTGAATCATTATTCAATTCATGAAGATGTTCCATTTTGTTCTAGGTACTCTTTTCTGTTGATATTATAAATGATATTCTAAATTATGTTTTCTAATTATTTTATGCACTATATACATATGTGATTTCTTTTCTTTTCTTTTCTTTTTTTTTTTTTTTTCTTGAGACGGAGTCTCGCTCTTTCGCCCAGGCTGGACTGCAGTGGTGCTATCTCGGCTAACTTCAACCTCTGCCTCCTGGGTTCACACCATTCTCCTGCCTCAGCCTCCCGAGTAGCTGGGACTACAGGCGCCCGCCACCTCGCCCGGCTAATTTTTTGTATTTTTAGTAGAGACAGGGTTTCACCGTGTTAGCCAGGATGGTCTCGATCCACTGGCCTCGTGATCCATCCGCCTCGGCCTCCCAAAGTGCTGGGATTACAGGCGTGAGCCACTGCGCCCGGCCACATATGTGATTTATTTTCAATATTTACTTATACTAGCAACCTTGATACACATACATTAAATTTTTCTATTTTAGTAATACAGCTGATTTCTAAAATTACCAATGACAGAGTTGTTATTTCTTAAATTTAAATAAAGATAATTGAATATTCAGATACGAAATTTGAATTCAAAAAGGTTAAATAATGCAGTCATCATCACATGCCTATTAGTGTTTTAGCTGGGGCCAGATCTGAATCTTCAGATACCCAGGTAAGTGCCCCTTCAACTGCAAGAGGCCTAGGTGGAAAGTATCAGCTCATCACAAATTCCCAATATTCTTGTATTTTTCAGATGGTACAGTGCTCTTTATATTCCCTAGTGTTCACATTTCAACTAAAAGAGAAATAAGCCAACTTAAAACAGAAACTTGACATTAGCAAAGAGGGAAGCTAGACTGAGAAATGGTTGATCTAGAGGGAAAAAAGAGAATATGTTCATAATCGGTCAGTATTAGGTAATGTGATAGAGATTATTATTTTTAATGCTTTACTTTTGAAATCAATTAGATTAACAGAAGAGTTACAAAGACTGTGGAGGATTTCTGTACATCCCTCACCCTGCTTCTCCTAATTTTAACATGTTAACTATTGCACACCTGTGCAAGTTAATTAATTTTGGCACTATAGGATTAACTCAACTACAGACATTATTCATATTTCACCAGTTTTACAGCTTTTTCTGTTCCAGCATTACATAGTCCGGTATACCAGGTTGCATTTACTTGTCATGCCTCCTTAGTTGTCTCAGATCTGTAATATTTCTCAGCCTTTTCTTATTTTTCAGGATCTTGAAGGAAACTAATTATTCCCCTCCTCTCCTCCCCCAGATGCTGAAGACTGTTAGGTTGAAGACACTGAACACGCAGGGAAGCAATCTGCCGCAGCTTCTATTTGCCTATTAACCAGCTCAGTGGAGAGTCAGGGTGACAGCCTTTTACACCCTTCCCTGTTGGTACCCTGGTTCTTACCCGGTGTCCAGGAAGAATCAGGTCACATGGACCTGAAGGATGGTGAATGCAGAGGCTTTACTGAGTGATGGAGGTGGCTCTCAGCAGGATGGGGAACTGGAAAAGGGATGGTTAACCCTTTAACCAACATTAACCCTTTCTGACTGGAGCAGCACTTCCACATTAGCCCAGATAAGGCATCAGCAGGCACCAGAGGAATCTGGGAAAAAAATCCCTATCTTCCCACATTTTCCCATCTTATAAAAGATGGGAAGTGCTCTCTCCTTTGTCTTCTCACTATATATGATCTATGGTTCTTTGTTTAAACACTATTTAAGCAAGGCCCCTAGAGCACTTCCTTCAGAGAGAAATAGTTTTAAACTAAGTCTTCCCCACACGATGGGTACCGCACACACTAATAAACATCTGCTTGTTTTTCTTTTGTTAATTTGACTTTTGTGTTCTGGAGATTGTCTCAACTAAAAACCTAAAAGGGAAAGTAATGAAATTGTCTTTTCTACACTACAATCTTGAAACTTTTGAAGTTATGGTCAGGTAATTTTTACAATGTCTTTCTGTTTGGGTTTACCTGATGTTTTCTCACGACTAAATTGATGTTAGTGAGATGGGATAGTTCCCTGGACCACTTTGACGGACTTACAACAGGGATGTGGCTTGCTTACTTGGCTGCCACCATTCAAACCCCTTGTGGGAGGGAAAGCACACAGATGAGCGGGTGCCGGGGCTGGGGCAAGCGCTTTTGGGCTCCAGCCCCATGGTAACATCTGGGGGTGTGTTAAAATTAATGCTCTTTTAGTAGTTGCCATCAGCGGATGGCTAAGTGTTAGCCAGCTCAGTGGAGAGTCAGGGTGACAGCCTTTTACACCCTTTCCTGTTGGTACCTTGGTCCTTGTACAGTGTCCAAGAAGAATCAGGTCACATGGACTTGAAGGATGGTGAATGCGGAGGTTTTATTGAGTGATAAAGGTGGCTTCTCAGCAGGATTTGGAGCTGGAAACGGATGGTGTGGGAAGAAGGTGATGTTTCTCTGAAGCCCCGCTGCCTCTGGCTGGGCTCCTCTCCAAAGTCATGCTGTCTGACGTTAAGCCACGTCTATCCCTAGTCTCTGATGCTCACTTGCTTTTTCTCTTCTAGATGTTCAGCTGCTTGTCTCTCTGCCAGCTGAGGTCTGGGGTTTATATAGGCACAAGACGTCGGGGGTGGGGGGCGTGTTGTGAGCCAAAAAGCAACTTTTGGGTGGGAAAACAGGGATGTGAAGTTCTTATTTAGGGCCACCGGCCCAGCCTTGAAGATGGAGCCCTTGCCAGGCACCCGCCCTTTTCTACCCAGTATTCCCTGCCTCTTGTCTGTATCATTAGGAATGTTGAGACAATGTCAGAAAAGTGAAGTGCCCTACTCATAGCAGCCTATCAGGCGGAAGATTAAATTCACATACTTATCACTGGTGATATTAAGCTTGAGCACTTGGTTGTAGTAGTGTCTGCTAGATTTTTCTAATGCAAAATTATCTTTTTACCTTTTGCCCGTTCTGTTTTTAGAAGGGAGTTAGTCCAACTCACACCCAAGGGGAGGGCAATTAAGCCCACCTCCTGGAGGGAAGACCAGCAAAGAATTTGTGAACACATGTTAAAATCAGCAAAGTAATTAAGATATATTTTGGGAAGTTATTTTGACAGACTTTTTCCTTTGCAGTATACACCACAAAATATATTTGTCTACTGAACCACTTGTAACCCCCCCTTTTTAAGAGACAATTAGTGATTGTAAGAATTGAGAATGCTTTTGTTACTTCAAGTTTACAATGTTAGTACATAGACAAAAATAACAACGGTAACTAAAACAACCACAAATTTGAGGGCTCAGATTAGGACAAAAATTAAGAATGTGTGAAAAAATATTAAGTTCTATGTTTATGTAAGTACTTTCTAAATATGTTTTAAAAGAAAATACCAATATGAAAATGACAAATCTCCATGACTGTAAGGGCTGTAGATTTACTTATAGCATCTAACATAGGAGCTGATCCATGACAAATTTCAAAGCTGTTGAACGAAGAGAATGCGAAGAAAAAAATCTTCCACACAGAAATAATAAACTCAGCACATTAAGAATTTATTACCTTGAAGATTAAGTGAAGAAAACAGATAATCCAGCAAAATAAAACTCACGAAGGAACTCTAAGGCAAGATTATTGATATTAAAAAAATAGTTTATTTTTTCCACATAGAAGAAACTATGTGCTGCTTCTTGTCTGAATCAGGTTTTGCCAATAAAGGATAATAGCCATGAATAATTGATGCATATGTCAGTGTGTGGAGGAGAGTGGTAGGAGAACTGATTAAGAATCATTGAATGTGATTGGGAGCACGTATGCTGTGTCACCAAATGTGGTAAGAAAATAGTAGTCAATAAAAGAGGTGCAGCCCAGTACGGGATTTCACAGTTTCAATTTCCATATAGTTCAATATATTGTGTGTATAGTTTATATTACATGTAATATATATTTTAAATAAAAATAATATAAATGTGATTGCCTTTGAGAGCATAATCCTGAGTTTTTATAAGTCAGTAATGCTTTAACTATAATTAGCTTAGACGAATTATCCTTACGGATTTCTGTCTGTTCTTCTTGCTGTGGTCATCTACCATATAGTTATGGTAAAAAAAAAAAAAAATGATCCTTTGTTAGAGTTTGAAGTAGTTAAATTTTAAAACTGCAAATTATGTGACTTTAAGCCAACTACATACTCTCTAAACTCAAACAGTTAAAAAAAAATTTCTACTCTATTATCTAAAATGTAAAACAGTGGAATCTATCGTGTGATTGATTCTCAAAGCAGAGAGGAATGGGTCAGCGACTGAACTCCTAAACCTTGTCCACTGCTGAGAATCTGTGTCACAGTGGTGCGTGTACAAAGGCCTAAAGAGACACTGGTTGTACAAGTGGACAATGACCAATCTACACATGCCAACAGAGCCCTGACCCACAACCACTGTAGCAACCAGTCCAGAACCAAACCACAAACTCAGAAGCAGTGGCTCAGAAAGGTCAGGACTTGATCAAAAACTTTCTCCTCTTTCTCTCTGACTTGCAATTAGGACCAACCAGAGAAAGTCAAGCCCCAAGCCCTGCAACTCCCCACCACAGGCAGGAGCCCCACCGCCACTTGAGTAGTCACAAAATGATGTTCTCCTTTGAGTCTGCCCTCCTTCAACCTCCCCATGACACCCTTCTTTCAGAGCATGACTGAAGCCTTCCCTTTCTTTCACCCTAAAGCCTTCACACTCACCTGCCTGCCTCTGAATCTCTGAAAACAGCTTCTTCCAGCTCTCATTTGGGTGGACTTTATTTCAATAGGGAGTGATAAAAAAAGACAAAATCTAGAGATTAAAGGAAACATAATAAAATGTGGCAGTGATCACATTAAATTTAGATTTTAATTAGGAAGTTGTGTTCTATAGTGAGTTCATAAGAAGAAAACATAACAAAAATGTAAATGTGATAAATTATAACACACTGCTTTATCCCACACTCCCAATGTGGAGAGTGAGGATGTTAGTAGTAGTAATAGTAAAGTGTCCAATATCAAATGCCTGCATGCTTGAGATCATTTTACTTGGGAAACTTTGTAATATTACCTGGGTCCTCATCTCCATAAAATAGCAATGACCATTTGAGAAACACAGTAAAAGTTAATGTTCCATATTGTTCTCCCTATGCTAAAGTCCTCCCCTGGAGGCTAAAATAAATTTGCTAAACCACATGTTGTTTACCTAATTTTTGTGCCAAAGCATTTAATGAGACTCCTGTGGGTAATGATGCTTTGCCAAAATGTTGGTTCTTCAGTTCAATATCACCTTTCTTCTTGGCAATACATTTATTGTTAATATATGCTTTTAAAAATTCAGGATATAATTCGGCATACATACCAGAAAACACTCATATGGTCTTGTGGAATTTCATTGCTTTGCATGGATTTTAAGTAAAAATCTATTTAAGGAACACTATACTGAGTGGGGAGGAAAACCCAATAAACCATAGTAAACCTTGACCCATGTATTCATGTGAATGAAATAAATAATATGATACCTTTGTCTACATTCCATTTACTTAAATGTAAAAAGTAAAGGTCGTAAAATAATTTAATTGCCTATATAATTAGAATCTAGATAATGTGTAGATTTGAATGATCAAATATCACTTTTAATAAGAAAAGAGTTTAATAAAGTTTAAATCTCCTTTTTAATAATATGTTTCTCAATATCACAGTAGCAATCCAGACACCCTGAAAGTTTTGAAAACCAAAAGATTTTTTGTCGTTGTTGCTGTTGTTGCCATTGAAAGTTTTGTACAACTAACTTGGCAGTTAAAAGCAGCCCTGCATCTGCATGAGTCTTCTTATGGCAATTATTTAGCTCACATAGTATGACTATTCGTAATCATCTGCAATATGAGAACATTTTATTATAGAACGCTGCTCTGGTTTTAATGAACTTGAGATGTATATGCCACTTATTAATATGTTAAAATCCAAAAACAATCTGCATTACGAAACATTCGTGGCCCCCATGGTTTAGAGAAAGAGTTGTCCAGAAATTATTTGAATGTATTAGTGATATAACTGAATGAATAAATTAATTTTTTTAAGAAAATAATGTTGACAGCCAGGTGTAGTGGTGTCTGCCTGTGGTCCCAGCTACCCTGGAGGCTGAGGTGGGAGGATTGCTTGAACCCAGGAGGCAGAGGTTGCAGTGAGCCGTGATTCTGCCACTGCACTCCAGCCTGGGTGACAGATGAGACCCTGTCTCAAACAATACATTAAAAAAATAAAATAAGAAGAGAAGAGAAAAAAATGATGTCCAGGGACTTCCTCGGACCTCCAGGAAAGTAATTTTGTAAGGTTACCATTTCACGAAGAGGCATCAATAGGAAAGGAGAGGTACCTAAGTGTGACATTGTTGACTGTGTCAGACTGTCTGGTAAACTCTTAATAACTCTCAAATCCTCTTCATGTAGAAGGCAGATATAGTGAAAATGACTTTAGAAAATATATCTGTCTATATTCACAGAGATATTAGAAGAAAAATAATGAAGATTATCATGAGATTAGAAACAGGCTCATGCCGTTTTATCATTTAAAAGAGACAAAAAACAACATTTCAAAAGAAACTCCTCAAATGTTGTTTGCTTTTTTTACATTGTTTGTTGCTTTTTTTTTAATGCAGATATAATTGCATAAGCCCTTGTTTTTAATCTCATGGCAATCTTCTCTTTCTTTTAATATCCTTGTGAACTATATAGAGATACCCTTTCCAAAATCATTTCTACTACAGTTAGCTTCCTGGTATGAAGTTTCAGTTATGCAATATTAGTATTATACATACTAGAGATCTATACTACTAGACTATACTAGACTACACATACTAGACTATAAGCACTAGTGTATAACACTGTGCTTATAGCTAATACTGTACTATACACTTAAAATTTGTTAAGAGGGTAAATCCTGTGTTATCAATGATCTCAATTAAAAAATAACATACAAAACAACAAAATGACAACATTTGTACACTAAGGTTACTCTTTAACATACAAAGAGAGTCACTTAATGATAAGGTTTGGCTATTTCCCCACCCGAATCTCATTTTGAATTCCCAGGTATTGTGGGAGAGACCCAGTGGGAGGTCATTTAATCATGGAGGCAGGTCTTTCCCATGCTTTTTTTGTGACAGTGAATAAGTCTCATGAGATCTAATGGTTTTAAAAAGGGGAGTTTCCATACACAAACTCTCTTCTCTTGTCTGCCACCCTGTGAGACGTGCCTTTCACCTTCCACCATGATTTTGAAGCTTCCCCAACCATGTGGAACTGTAATTCCATTAAATCTCCTTCTATTGTAAATTGCCCAGTCTCAGGTATGTCTTTATCAGCAGTGTGAAAATGGAATAATACACTTAACAAGGCAATAAATTGTTTTTCAATATGAGGTGTAGTTGGCAACTTAAAATTGTATATAATTAAGGTGTAAAACTTGATGATTTGAAATACATGTACATTATGAAATATTCACTACAGTCAAACTAATTAACATATCCAACACCACATATACTTACTTTTTTTGTTCTTTTGTGTGTACGCATGCATAAGTGAATGTGAGTGTGACTGTGTGTGTGTGTAAAGTAAAGATCTACCCTCTTGGCAAGTTTTAAGTGTACAATACCATGTTGTTAACTATAGTCACATTGCTGTACATTAGATCTTCAGAATTTATCTTACATAACTGAAACTTTGTACCCATTGATAAACATCTCCCCATATTTTCATCCACTCATCCCCTGGTAGCCACTATTTGTATTCTGTTTCTGTGAGTTCAACTACATTAGAATCTATATATAAGTGAAACCACACAGTATTTGTCTTTTATGTCTAGTTTATCTTACTTAACATAATGTCACCCAAGATAATCCATGTTGTTGCAAATGGCAAAACTTCTCTTTTATTAAAGCTGAATGATACTCCATTGTGTGTGCATATCCTTTTTTTAATTCATTAATTTGTTGGTGAACATTTATATTGTTTCCATATCTTGGTTATTGTGAATAATGCTGCAGTAAATATAAGAGTACAGATATCTCTTGGAGCTCTTTAGTTTATTACTCTTCAATATACAATGAGAAGTGGGATTGCTGGATCTTAACATAGTTCTATTTTTAATTTTTTGTGGAACTTCCATGATGTTTTTCACAATGGTTATACCAATTTACATTCCCACCAAGAGTGTGCAAACTCCACTTCCCTTTTCTCTACATCCCCTCCAAAACTTGTTTTCTTTTCTCTTTTTGATAATAGCTATTCTAACAGGCGTGAAGTGATATTTCATTATGGTTTTGGTTTGCATTTCCCTGATGATGAGTGAGACTAAGCAACTTTTCATATACCTGTTGACCATTTATATGTCTTCTTTTGAGGAATGTATACTCAAGCCCTTTGTCAATTTTTTCATTGAGTTTAATTTCAATTTGCTTGTAAGTCATATGAGTTCTTTATGCGTGTTTATAATCAACCCATTATCTATACAGTAATGCACCACATAAAGATGTTTCAGTAAATGATTAACTACACATCTGATGGAAGTACCACAAGATTATAATATTGTGTATTTACTATACCTTTTCTGTTTAGGTATGTTTAGATACACACATACTTACCAGTGAGTTACAATTGCCTGCAGTGTTTAGTAGAGTAAAATGCTGTATAGGTTTGTAGCATAGGAGCAATAGGTTATACCATACAGCCAAAGTGTGTAGTAGGTTGTACCATTTAGTTCTGTTTAAGTACAATCTGTGATGTCTCATAATGATGAAATCACCCAGCAATACATTTCATAGAATGTGTTTTCATCATTAACCAATGCATGATTGTGTATGTTTTACAAATATTTTCTCCCATTCAATAGTTTGCCTTGTTACTTTGTTAATTATTTCTTTTGCTATGAAGAAGCTTTTTTAGTTTGAAGCAATCCCATTTGTCTATCTTTGTTTTTGCTTCCTATGCCTTTGGTGTCAAATCCAAAATATTGTACAGACAAATTTCAAAAAAACATTTTTTATGTTGTATTCTAGTAGTTTTACAGTTTCAGGTCTTACATTTAAGTCTTTAATCCAGTTAGGGTTGATTTTTGTAGATGGTGAGATAAAAATCCAACCAACTTCATTCTTCTTCATTTGAATATTCAGTTCTCCAAATACCATTTTCCTATTGCCCAACTCATTGAAGATACTATCATTTTTCTTTCACATATTCTTTGTATGCTTGTTAAAGATCAGATGACTATAGATGTGCAGATATATTTCTGGGCTCTCTATTCTGTTCCATTGTTCTATGTGTCTGTTTTAATGTCAATCCCATATGTTATGATTACAGTAGCTTTGTAATATGTCTTAAAATCACAAAGTGTGATGCCTCCAGTATTATTATTCTTGTTCAAGATTGATTTGGATATTCAGGGTTTTGTATGATTCCATATGAATTTTAAAATAATTTTTTCAATTTCTATATAAAAAAATGCCATTGGGTTTTTGATAGGGATTGTGTTAAATCTTTAGATCATTTTGTGTAGTATGGACTTTTAACAACACTAACTTGCTTTGGAATTGGAAATTGTGTCTTTAAAAAAATCAGTTATTCTAATTCATGAACACTAATCTAATCCATTCATCTGTGTATTTTGTAATTTCCTTCATTAACATTGTATAATTTTCTGTATATAAGTTTTTTAACTATTTGGTTAAATTCATTCCTAAATTTAATATGATTAAATGTTACTATTTTTATTGTTATTGTTGATGGGATTGTTTGCTTAATTGTCTTTTCAACAAGACATTAAATTCTTTTTTTTTTTTTTTTTTTTTTTTTGAGACGGAGTCTCGCTGTTGCCCAGGCTGGAGTGCAGTGGCGCAATCTCGGCTCACTGCACACTCCGCCCCCCGGGGTTCACGCCATTCTCCTGCCTCAGCCTCCCGAGTAGCTGGGACTATACGCGCCTGCCACCTCGCCCGGCTAATTTTTTATATTTTTAGTAGAGACGGGGTTTCACCGTGTTAGCCAGGATGGTCTTGATCTCCTGACCTTATGATCCGCCCACCTCGGCCTCCCAAAGTGCACATTAAATTCTTGATAAAATAGAAACCTAATAACTCAGAGTGACAAGTAGGATTTACCTCATATTGAGTAATTAAGAGAGCTATCTGGAGTGATACCTGATGTTTCCAATGACATATTTAGGCTCAATGGGAAGGAAAATTAGCATCCATTAGATCAGGAGTGGGTAGTGACAGCACTTATATATATGATCACTGACATGATTTGTATGCTTACATTCTTCTCCATTTCTTTTTTCTTTTTGTGTTTTTCTTCCTTTCTTACTTCTTTCCTTCTTCCCATCCTTTTTTCCTCCCTTTATTCTTTCCTTCTTTCTTTCTTTTTTTTTTTTTTTTGGTTTTACAGTGTATACTTTCCTCCATTTTCCATATCTGTTGGCTTTTCTCTTTGCTAAAGCTTCCAATAACTCTCACTGGTCCACTTACAAAGTAGAAAGTGGAACACATCAGAAGTACATCAAAAGTATCACAAAGAGTTTTAATGTGCTATTTATTTCTACAAGTATGGTAAACTATATTGTTGTCCACTTGCACAGTTCTAAAGCTACCCATGATGATTTACTCTATTTCCACTACTGTGAAGTACATAATATTTCTCTATGTATGCTTTATTTCTTTATTATTTGAACTTATTTTATAAATTACCAGAATAGAATTATTTATCTACAAATTACTCAGAAAGTGGTAAATAGTTTTAAATAGTCTATTTGGCATAGTTGATATGCATACACAGAAGGCCAATTATCAATTTTATGTCTCTTTGATAGCTTATGTTCTCAATACACCTCATTATCTTTTGCTCTTAGTAAACTAAAAATTATAAAAAGTTAATATATGATTTTATTTATGTCAACAAAATTAATTTTTCCCTTTCTCTTTGTCCTAACATAGAAAAAAAGATGCAATTTGTGAAAAAAAGATGCAATTTGTAAAATTAAAAAAAAAGAAGTTGAAAGTTAAAAGACTACTGAATTTCTTTTGAATAGAGAAACATATTTTAACAATGTAATATTGGTTTATTTCATGTGGAGGTAAAATGAGCTCTCAGGATTTTGTTGTTTCTGAATAAATAATTGCAGGTTACTGTGCTATACATTCTTCTAGCAATGAACATTTTAAAGAGAACTACATATTTGTTGAGATGACTAAGATCCCATTGACAGAATTGGCACCAATAAAGGGTTAGAGCCCTGCCATATGTGTCAAATAGATCAAGCTCTTGTAATTTGAGAGCAGGTACTTACACTTAGTCCACACTTAATCTGGGTTTTCTTATCTATAAATTGGTTAGAATCTCATCTGATTTTGTAAGTTATAGATATATGTAAAGAGGATTTAGAACAATAACAGAATAGAGTTAACATTAAAAATGTGGCTACTGCTATTTCTTTATGACTTTGCTATACTGCCATTTTATAGAATAGCTTTAAAAAATATTATTGAATATAGCATAGCCTAGGAATTTTAAATGAATACAAAATAGATTTAAAGGAAAAACAGCATACAATGAAATTTAAAAATAGAAAAATATGTGAATTAACAGTTTTTTATGAAATTTGGTTTATATTGAACATTAAATACTTTGGATAACTTTGTCATTAGGGAAATGATACCACAATGATATATGAAGACTGCAAAACTAAGTGTCTTCAAGAGACATTAAAAATAGTGAAAGACAATGAGATACTATCTCACACCAGTTAGAATGGAGATTATTTTAAAAGTGAGGAAACAGATGCTGGAGAGGCTGTGGAGAAACAGGAACACTTTTACACTGTTGGTGGAAGTGTAAATTAGTTCAACCATTGTGGAAGACAATGTGGCGATTCCTCAGCACCTAGAATCAGAAATACCATTTGACCCAGCAATCCCATTACTGGGTATATACCCAAAGGATTATAAATCATTCTGCTATAAAGACACAAGCACAGGTGTGTTTATTGCAGCACTATTTACAATAGCAAAGACTTGGAACCAACCCAAATGCCCATCAATGATAGACTGGATAAAGAAAATGTGGCATATATATACCACAGAATATTATACAGCCATAAAAAAGAATGAGTTCACGTCCTTTGCAGGGACATGGATGAAGCTGGAAGCCAGCATTATCAGCAAACTAACACAGGAACAGAAAACCAGACACCGCATGTTCTCACTCAAGAGTGGGAGTTGAACAATGAGAACACATGGACACAGGGAGGCGTCATGGACACAGGGAGGGGAACATTACACACTGGGGCCTGTCGAGATGTGGGGCACAAGGGAAGGGAGAGCATTAGGACAATACCTAATGCATGACAGGTTGATGGCTGCAGCAAACCCACCATGGCACATGTATACCTATGTAACAAATCTGCACATTCTACACATGTATTCCAGAACGCAAGTAAAGTTCTTATTTTACTTAAAGTAAAATTTAAAAAATAGTGAAAGAAAAATATAACCTTAGTACTGATGAACAAAAAAATTGAGTTTTTAAAATTTTTATGCATTAGAAAGTTAAACAGAAAATTTACAAACTATTTAACTGAGCTGAATGGTCTTGTTTTTAAAGATATAATAGGTAACTTAAGTGTAACAGATGTGGAACAAAAAGATGAGAGACAAACACAAAACGTCATATACAGCCAGGTTAAAATTAAAACAATGTCTTAATTGGTCCTCAGTATCTTCGTGGTGTCATTATTATAGCACTGTAAAAAAGCTGGTGAAAATGATATTGCCATCTTTTTCTTACAATGGAAACCTGATCAGAACAATGTAATTTCTAGCTTTTGTAGTTAGCTCTTAATATGCTTGATAAATAGCATTCTCATCAAAAAAGTACTATTGTTACAAAAAAATGACAAGGAACATCACCTATTATCAACTTAGGTCTAATAGAGTTTAGGTTGCTCTCTAGGAGTCAAAATAGAAAAATCGGCCAAGGGCGGTAGCTCACGCCTGTAATCCCAGCACTTTGGGAGGCTGAGGTGGGAGGATCACCAGGTCAGGAGATGGAGACCATCCTGGCTAACATGGTGGAACCCCATCTCTACTAAAAATACAAAAATTTAGCTGGGCATGGTGGCGAGTGTCTGTAGTCCCAGCTCCTCGGGAGGCTGAGGCAGGAGAATGGCGTGAACCCGTGAGGCAGAGCTTGCAGTGAGCCGAGATCGTGCCACTGCACTCCAGCCTGGGCAACAGAGCAAGACTCCGTCTCAAAAAAAAAAAAAAAATAGAAAAATCCAAACTCAACAAACAGATATGCTTTACCATTAGCATGATTATACCAAGCAATTGTCTATAAAGGTGTGAACAAAGATAGTCTCTCCTCTCAAAATTTTGTAATTTAAATCTGCCTTCTAGGGTGGCCTAACTACAAGAAGAAAATGCACTAATCCATGGAAGGAAGCAAGCAATCTGCCAGGCAATCAAATGTTTAATGTTAATACATAAACAGGCAATGCTTTTACATAGGCCAGTTGGATCTATTATCATCTGTTTATCTTTCACACCAATCTCTCCATCATCATTGACGGAGCATCTATTCTAATGAATAGCTCTCTTTCCAACCAATCACTCACCCATACTTCCATTTATTCATTCATACATTTATGATACCCATCTATGAGCCAAAGTTGGAAACAATCATGTTCTGTGCTAATAATTGATTAATGACTGTGCAGTAGTTAACTCGCTAAAGTGAGTAATACTTTGAGCACTTTCTTGGTAATAAATGGAATGGTGGTACCTCAGCAAAAGTACAAAAAACTCGACCTGATATTTTAAAATGAAACAACAGCTTGAAAGTTGGCCATAGTGAAACTGACTCAATATTATCATAGACAGTCTGGTTTTTTTTTTTTGTTTTTTTTTTTTTTTTTTGGATAAACATAGAATTTGACCCTTCTGGTATTAAAGGTTGAAACATTTGTTTTGTCTGAGTTTCTTTCTCAGGAAAGGACCTCTAGGCCTCTCAAAAAGTATCAAAGAACTGAAACTCAAGAGATCACTGCATCCAGTCAAAGAAATGCCAGCCTCCTCATTCATCATGATTGCTTCCTAGCCCCTCCTTAGTTCCTGTTTTCTTTGACATTGTTACATTTCTTTCCTGCTATGTAAACACCTAGATTTCGTAGGTCAGGGAAATGAATTTGAGATTAAGCCCTTAAAATGCAGCACCAGATTAAAGCCTTCTTCACTGGCAATACTTGCCATTTCAGTCATTGGCTTTCTATATAATGAGCATCAGGACCTAGACCAAACCTCTGATATTTCAAAAACAATACTGTTTACAAAAAAATGTTCTCTGGGTTCTACACAATGGCTTATGTCTGTAATCCTAGCACTTTAGGTGGTTCAGGTGGGAATATTACTTGAGACCAGGAGTTTGGGCCAATCTGGGCAACATAGCAAAATTTTGTCTTTATAAACTATTAAAAAAAATAGCCAGTCATGGTGGTGCATGCCTGTACTTACAGCTATTTGGGAGGCTGAGTTGGGAGAATCACTTGAGTCCGGGAGTTTGAGGTTACGATGAGCTGTGATTATGACACCACTCTCCTCTTGGATGACAGTGCAAAATCTTTTTTTGTGGTTGTTGTTGTTTTTGATGGAGTTTCGCTCTTGTTGCCCAGGCTGGAGTGCAATGGCGTGATCTAGGCTCACCGCAACTTTCGCCTCCCGGGTTCAAGTGATTCTTCTTCCTCAGCCTCCCGAGTAGCTGGGATTACAGGCACGTGCCACCATGCCCGGCTAATTTTGTATTTTTAGTAGAGATGGGGTTTCTCCATGTTGGTCAGGCTGGTCTTAAACTCCCCACCTCAGTTGATCCACCTGCCTCGGCCTCCCAAAGTGCTGGAATTACAAGCGTGATCACCGCGCCCAGCCGCAAGATCTTGTCTCTAAAAAACAATAAATAAATAAATAAATAACAAAAGTGTTATCCAGATCTCTCTGTAATTTGAAATAGAATTTTGTACTGTGGCCACATAAAAGTTTTGCACAGGTTCCAGTTCAGGATAGCTAAGTAGAAGCAGCTAGTGAGTGCCCTTCTCATGGAGAGGAGTTAACACTGTGAGTACACACTAACACCTCAAAAAGATCCTCTCAGAGTGGATCCTAAAATTCACTAGAGAAACAGGAAGCACAGAACAAAGAAGAGCAAAGCTGGGCAGGCTGCCAAGCTGAGACCGATGTGAGCCAGGTGAGGTTTTTTAACACGGGTATGGGATGAGCATGTAATAGACCCTGAAAATTCCACACCTCTGACATGAACCTTTACAATGCTAGTCATAGGAGAGCCCCTTGACTTCCCTGAGCCTACAGACTACCACAGAGAGCTGCCAGGAGTCTAAGCAGAGGCACTGCTCAAGCCCATGTGGAATCCAACAGGCTTTTGATCCCCAAACAGCCTGGTGCCAGCTGCTGCTGCCCAGCCAAGAAGCAAGGCTGGACATTTTCACGCTTCCGGAGGACAGAAACTCTAGCTGCCGTACAACAGAGTGAGCAGACAACGCAACATGTGAATCCCCGCCTCTGCCGCATTCCACCAGATGGGACTTTCCCACATTGGAGACCAGCCCCTGGTGCACCTGCCCTGCCCCTGCCTAAATACTGCAACCACAGCTCAACTCCCAGAGGCTGCCAACTCCCAAAAGCGTTGATAGGCCCTCTGCAGCCACCACCACCACCACATTTGCTCCAGCACTCTTGGTCCAGGGAAGAAACTGAGAGGTGGGGAAATTTCAGGTGCCCCCAAGGCAGACACCATAGTCCAGTGCAGAGGAGTGAACAGAATGCACACTGTCCACAATCTTTTCGATGGCTCCCCACCAGGCATGGTTTGCCTGCTCCAGTGACAAGCCCTGGCATAGTGCAGCTGCCCTAACCCCTCCTGAACACTGCAGCAGTGGCTCAGTGTTCCTCAGAGAGCCCAACTCACAGAAGTTGCTTTTAGGCCCTTTCTAGTCGCCACCACTGCTGCTTCAACCCCTGCCACACACAGGCCAGAGAGAAAATGAGGAGGTAGGACAATGTTGCATACCCCTAAGACAGAACCTGCAACCACAGTGTAAAGAAGCAAACCGACTGTGCACTGCGTGACCCCTTGCCTCTATGGCTCCTTGCCAAGTGGGGCTTGCCTGCTTTGCTAATAGGCCTCTGGCACACTTCCCCTGTCCCTGCCTAAACACTGCAGCCACAGCTCAATTGTTAGAGGCCACCAACTCACAGAGGCTACCAATAGGCCTTCCAAATCCTCTTTCACTGCCGTCTCCCTGCCCCTGCAGCCCATGGGCCAGGGAGCGGACAGAGAGCCTTCATGTTCCCCTAACAGCAAAACCCAGCATTGCTTCTGTGAGAGAGAGGTGTGAGCATACCATGCGTCCCACAGGTGCCAGTCCACATAGCCCCATTGGAGGGGCCTGTCCTCCCCATTAGAAGGCCCACAGCATAACTGCTCTGTTTCTTCCTGACCATTTCAGCTGTGGCCCAGGCCCTGCAGCCCTGTGATCTGCCCTTGGGCTCCCCGTTGCCTGAGTGTTCTGTCTGCCCCTACCTGAGAGTTCTGCCAGTGACCAGGATACAAGCTCGACCTTCCCTATTATGGCCAGCACATAAAATCTGGGCTGACACGACCTAGTCCTGCCATTTCTGGACTTGGACACACCATCCAGCAGGCTACCTAGTGGCCTGGAAATTGGGGAATTATCTAGCCCAGTCCACTACTACTTGGGAGCCAGAGGTTGGGCTGACCCAACCAGCCACCACCACCACAACCAATACCTATCTGCTCAGGCTGAAAAGTGGAGCCCTTCCCTCTTACTACAGGAAGCAGCAGCATTCCCAAACAAAGAACAGATGACTCAGAAAGCGATATGTACTGGGCTGAGTGAAAAGTTTCTGCCTCTAAAACCTCCTTCTAAGAAGTGCTGTACAGGAATTTTCTGTGGCTCTCAGCCTCACTGCAGCCTTGAGATAGACAACTGTGTGTGTCTGAACAAAGTGATGAACACTGAGACAGGGGTGTGATCTGGAAACAGATTTGTGTTCCTGCCTATCTATGATATGGGGCCAGTGCTGCACCCTCACCCCCAGCAAAGACCTTGGCACATCTCACCAGGAGCTCCCCAGCCACTCCAGGCAAGGCTGGCACCTGTGCATGTCATAAGAGAAAAATTCAATGACAAGTATTCTTTCTGGGACACAGAGAAAAGTTCTGACCTTGTGCCGGCAGTTGTATTTATATTATTTCATTTATTCTTCACAGTTTTGCAACGTGGTCAATTTCATTTATTATATATTAATTTCCCAGCATTACTGAAGTATAATTAACAAATAAAAATTGTGTATATAGAAGGTGCAACGTGGTGATTTTTTATATGTATACATTGTAAAATGATTACCACAATCAAGCTAATTATCATACCCAACACCTCACATAGTTAGTTATCTATCACATAGTTATCTCTATGTTTGGTAAGAACACAATATCTACTCTCTTAGCAAATTTCAAGTGTTCACTACAGTACTATTAATTATGATTGCCATGCTATCTATTTACCTTTAGAATTTAATCAACTTATAACTAAAACTTTGTGTCCTTTGATCAACATTACCCCCTTACTCTCACTCTCCAGCTCCTGGCAATGATCAATCTACTCTCTGTTACTGTGAGTTCAAGTTTTTTATGTAAACTTTTTAATACAAACTTTGAAAATAAGGTTCCACATATAAGTAATATCATGCAATATTTGTCTTTCTATGCCTGGCTGATTTTACTTGGGATAATGTCCTCCAGGTTCATCCATGTTGTTGTGAGATTTCATTCTTTATTAAGGCTGAATAGTATTTCTTTGTGTGTGTGTGTGTGTGTATATATATATATATATATATATATATACACACATGCATATATACACATATATATGTATGTATGTATATTACATTTCTTTTATCTATTAATCTGTCTGTGGAGATTTAGGTTGTTTCCTTCTTTTGGTTATCGTGACTAATGCAGCAATGAACATGGGAGTGCTGCTATTTTTCTGATATAGTGGTTTCGTTTTTTTTAAGTAGCATGATTATTATCGTTCTACCATGTCCCCTCTCTGAGTTTTCTCGGGCTCAATATATCAGTTAGACTTACGGGACTTAAGTAGGCTGTACTTGGTGCTGGCTTCACTTGGAAGGACACAAAACAGGAAAGGAAACATAGCAGTGGATAACTTGAGACATCTTTCAGCAGCAAGAGTTGTCATAGGAGACACAGCAGTCCAGGTTTTTTATTTTTCTTTTTGGTATGTACATGGGACAATCTAGATGCAAGGAAAGGAGATCACAAAGAGAGGGGCATCACTGGCTCAGAAGCCCCAGGTCTCAAATAGGAATCAATATCTCTTACAATGGTCCCATAGGGAAAGCTTCTAGTATTCCAATGAAGTTCACACAAGGTTACAAGGTCCAGTGCTCCCAGGACAGCCCCAAAGCTCCACTGCTCTCAGGACAGCCTCAAAGCTCCACTGCTCTCAGGACAGCCTCAAAGCTCCACTGCTCTCAGGACAGCCCCAAAGCTATGGCTTCCCAATATCGTGGCTTCTTCACTGCCATAGTTCAGTGAACAGGAGGGATTGTTACAGCCCTTTCACTCTCACAGTTCAGCAACTTCCAAATTCTTGCCTCACAACCAAGAGGAATAAGGTAGGCAGACACTGGAGAGTGAGTAAGGCAGAGTAGAATTTTATTGAGCAACAAAAAGAAAGCTATCAGCAGCGAGAGGGGACCCGAAAGTGGGTTGCCAGCATGTTGCCAGCTGCCAGACTGAACCTGGGGTTTTTATGGGCTTAGATTGGGGAAATGCATGCTGACTGGTGTATGGGTGGGCTTGAAAAAAAGCACCATTCAGAAAGAGGTGCAATAGTGTAAAGAACCAATCAGTGGCTGAAGGGAAGACCTTGGCCCAGGATCAATCAGGGGCTGGAGTGGAGGCTTGGGCTGGGACCTCGGCCCAGGATCAATCAGGGGCTGAGCACACTGAATGGGAATGGAAGTTCTCACTTGCATCTGTGGACTTCATTCAGAACTGGTAGTTTGGTGTTCAGGCTTCAGATGGTCCTTAGCTTGAACTTTAAGCTTCAGCAGGGACCTGTCACTGTCTGCCTAGGAATTTGCCTGCCTCCTATAGCTATCACCAATAATTATTGCAGTCCATTCATAGCTTTCCTGTCCAGATGTTGTTGAATTATTTGGGATGATGTTTATTGTAAGCAATGCTGCCTAATCACACAGCTACCATCCCATCCTTATATGAGAAACAGAAATAGGATCTCATTTGTCCATAGAGTACGGAAAAGAATGTACTTTCTCTGTACTCAACATTCCATATGGCAATGAGGAAGTCGATGGTCAAGGGAAACAATGAATTTCCCCAAGGTCAAACAACTGTCATGTGACAGAGTGGGATTTAATTCTTTGTCTGTCAGAACCCTGACCTCTGTCGAGATTCACACAACACTTATGAGTTTTACACTGTGCCTGTCACCTCTTCCCTCACCAGTGGAGGGCATGATTTAAAATTATATCACTTTACATTGGGCCTGAATGCTGTATCAATCACAGCAGATTAAAAATCTTCTTTAATTTATAAATAGTAGTCCTACCTTTTCCTTATGAGCCTAGTCAAATAATATTGAAGAAACCCACCTTCCATGGAATGTCAATATTTGACCCAGCATTATCCACTTCAAGAAATTTGCCTTAAGGAATGAATCAAATTAAAGCATGAAAATTATTTTTAAAAATAGAAAAATTAGAAAAGACTGATGATCTAGAAGATTATATATACAAAGAATAACTTTAAAATAAGAATACAATATATAGTTGTTTATACAGTAACCTTAAAACCTTATGACATAAGTTATTCTCTGTGAAAATGTGTATATCACCCAAAAGGAAATAAATGCTAGAGACAAATTCCAAATACCTTATAAATAAAAACTTTTGTGAAAATGTATATATCTCCCAAAATGAAATAAATGCTAAAGACAAATTCCAAATATCTTGTAAATAAAAACTAACTAAGACCAAACATACTACAAGTAGAAAGGAACAATAATATATTTGTAGCCTAAGGTTAAGAAAGCTTTCCAAACAGACAAAAGTGAAAAATTTATGAAGAATAATATTGATGTGTTTATCTAGATCAAAATAAGAATAAAAGCCAAAGGCCAACTACAAGAAAAAAAAAACCCAAATGACTAATTAATGTGAGAAATGATGTTCTCATCAGTAATATTATATAAATAACAATTTATAAAAACAAATCATGTTGCCAACAATTAGATGGGCAACATTTTAACATTCTGATTACAGTATTCATTCAAAGAATTAGAAAACAAGCAGTCATTTACTGCTGATAGAGTATAATGTTATGGCCAAATTGAAAGGCAATTTGGCAGTAATATCAAAATAAAATAAATAAATTAGTCCTTTAGGACCACATCAAAGAATGTGCAAAATGAAATTGAATTGTTTCCAACAATTACTATAATTAAATGGAAAAAATTTAAATGCACGTCAGTAAGGAACTTGCTAATTAAAGTTAGGTCAACCTATATTTGTAAATATCATACAATAGTTAGGAGAAAATTTAACCTATATGTACTGAAATACAATATTCTTAAGATGAAAAATTAGTTTAAAAGAACACTTAGAGGAATACTGCAGTTAAATAAAGGCAAAAGAATGACATGATGCTATGAAACAGTCCTTTAAACAAAAAGCAAAAACTAAATTCTCAGAGGTGGAAGAGCCTATAAAATATTTCATATATTTAACCATCTAAAATACTGACTGCAGAAGGCCTTACGTTTTAAATGAATTGACAGTGACTAAAATGAACAAACAAAAAGCCCTATTTAAAATAGAAGCCTAAATATAATGTATTTACATGTACACACATATCAATATCCTGTAATTATGATATAAAAATACTGAAATACATGTATACAGACCACAAAAATTGTATTACTAATCTGTACCTAAAATTCTAGATTTTATGAAATTAAGGATCAGGTTAGAATAAGAGAATAAATTTCTTGCCATTTATATAATGAAAAGATATTGCTAAAAACTTAAAATATAACTTGGAAAATAAATATATATCTTCTACGAAGGAGCAAAGGAAATATTTTTAAAGACAAAACAGAAAATGAAATGTTATTCTATAAGTAACAAGAATAAAGAAAATTGTCTGCCACACCTGTACTACTTTTCTGCCTCAATAATGAAATTCGAATATTTTCTTTTTAAATATATATTTAATATTTGTATTATTTTTAATGTTTGGTAAGTTTGGATGGGATATTTTTATTATTTGAATGTTTGAATATTTTTATTATTTGGATATTAATCTTATAATGGATCTATCAATTTTATATGCTCAAATTTACATTCATATAATGCTTCCCATATTTTTTCCAATGAGAAACTCTTTTAATACAATGAACCGAGGACATCATTAAAAAACTCAGTTTTGCTATTATATTAAATGGTGTCTACTAAATATTAAAAATTGTTTAATGGTTTGAAAATATTTTTCTTCATATCTATATCCCCAAAATAAATAATCATTCCAATTTTTAATTACTTTTTTAAAACAAAATTTTTTTTTTTTTTTTTTTTTTTTTTATGGTTTGGTTATTTTATTCTTGAAATAATATTTTTAAATTTAAAAAAATTTAACAGCTTTATTGAGGTGTAACCAGCATACAATAAGTTTCACATATTTAACGTACACAAATTTGATGAGTTTTGACACATGCAAACAGCCATGAAACCATCATAACAATTAAAATAACAAACATTTCCATGTTTGCTTTGTTTTGTTTTGTTTTTTTTTTTTTTTCATGTGTTTTTTTTTTTATTATACTCTAAGTTTTAGGGTACATGTGCACATTGTGCAGGTTAGTTACATATGTATACATGTGCCATGCTTGTGCGCTGCACCCACTAATGTGTCATCTAGCATTAGGTATATCTCCCAATGCTATCCCTCCCCCCTCCCCCGACCCCACCACAGTCCCCAGAGTGTGATATTCCCCTTCCTGTGTCCATGTGATCTCATTGTTCAATTCCCACCTATGAGTGAGAATATGCGGTGTTTGGTTTTTTGTTCTTGCGATAGTTTACTGAGAATGATGGTTTCCAATTTCATCCATGTCCCTACAAAGGATATGAACTCATCATTTTTTATGGCTGCATAGTATTCCATGGTGTATATGTGCCACATTTTCTTAATCCAGTCTATCATTGTTGGACATTTGGGTTGGTTCCAAGTCTTTGCTATTGTGAATAGTGCCGCAATAAACATACGTGTGCATGTGTCTTTATAGCAGCATGATTTATACTCATTTGGGTATATACCCAGTAATGGGATGGCTGGGTCAAATGGTATTTCTAGTTCTAGATCCCTGAGGAATCGCCACACTGACTTCCACAATGGTTGAACTAGTTTACAGTCCCACCAACAGTGTAAAAGTGTTCCTATTTCTCCGCATCCTCTCCAGCACCTGTTGTTTCCTGACTTTTTAATGATTGCCATTCTAACCGGTGTGAGATGATATCTCATAGTGGTTTTGATTTGCATTTCTCTGATGGCCAGTGATGATGAGCATTTCTTCATGTGTTTTTTGGCTGCATAAATAATCAATAGTTTACCAACCAAAAAGAGTCCAGGACCAGATGGATTCACAGCCGAATTCTACCAGAGGTACAAGGAGGAACTGGTACCATTCCTTCTGAAACTATTCCAATCAATAGAAAAAGAGGGAATCCTCCCTAACTCATTTTATGAGGCCAGCATCATTCTGATACCAAAGCCGGGCAGAGACACAACCAAAAAAGAGAATTTTAGACCAATATCCTTGATGAACATTGATGCAAAAATCCTCAATAAAATACTGGCAAACCGAATCCAGCAGCACATCAAAAAGCTTATCCACCATGATCAAGTGGGCTTCATCCCTGGGATGCAAGGCTGGTTCAATATACGCAAATCAATAAATGTAATCCAGCATATAAACAGAGCCAAAGACAAAAACCACATGATTATCTCAATAGATGCAGAAAAAGCCTTTGACAAAATTCAACAACCCTTCATGCTAAAAACTCTCAATAAATTAGGTATTGATGGGATGTATTTCAAAATAATAAGAGCTATCTATGACAAACCCACAGCCAATATCATACTGAATGGGCAAAAACTGGAAGCATTCCCTTTGAAAACCGGCACAAGACAGGGATGCCCTCTCTCACCGCTCCTATTCAACATAGTGTTGGAAGTTCTGGCCAGGGCAATCAGGCAGGAGAAGGAAATAAAGGGTATTCAATTAGGAAAAGAGGAAGTCAAATTGTCCCTGTTTGCAGACGACATGATTGTTTATCTAGAAAACCCCATCGTCTCAGCCCAAAATCTCCTTAAGCTGATAAGCAACTTCAGCAAAGTCTCAGGATACAAAATCAATGTACAAAAATCACAAGCATTCTTATACACCAACAACAGACAAACAGAGAGCCAAATCATGGGTGAACTCCCATTCACAATTGCTTCAAAGAGAATAAAATACCTAGGAATCCAACTTACAAGGGATGTGAAGGACCTCTTCAAGGAGAACTACAAACCACTGCTCAAGGAAATAAAAGAGGAGACAAATAAATGGAAGAACATTCCATGCTCATGGGTAGGAAGAATCAATATCGTGAAAATGGCCATACTGCCCAAGGTAATTTACAGATTCAATGCCATCCCCATCAAGCTACCAATGACTTTCTTCACAGAATTGGAAAAAACTACTTTAAAGTTCATATGGAACCAAAAAAGAGCCCGCATCGCCAAGTCAATCCTAAGCCAAAAGAACAAAGCTGGAGGCATCACACTACCTGACTTCAAACTATACTACAAGGCTACAGTAACCAAAACAGCATGGTACTGGTACAAAAACAGAGATATAGATCAATGGAACAGAACAGAGCCCTCAGAAATAATGCCGCATATCTACAACTATCTGATCTTTGACAAACCTGAGAAAAACAAGCAATGGGGAAAGGATTCCCTATTTAATAAATGGTGCTGGGAAAACTGGCTAGCCATATGTAGAAAGCTGAAACTGGATCCCTTCCTTACACCTTATACAAAAATCAATTCAAGATGGATTAAAGATTTAAACGTTAAACCTAAAACCATAAAAACCCTAGAAGAAAACCTAGGCATTACCATTCAGGACATAGGCGTGGGCAAGGACTTCATGTCCAAAACACCAAAAGCAATGGCAACAAAAGACAAAATTGACAAATGGGATCTAATTAAACTAAAGAGCTTCTGCACAGCAAAAGAAACTACCATCAGAGTGAACAGGCAACCTACAACATGGGAGAAAATTTTTGCAACCTACTCATCTGACAAAGGGCTAATATCCAGAATCTACAATGAACTCAAACAAATTTACAAGAAAAAAACAAACAACCCCATCAAAAAGTGGGCGAAGGACATGAACAGACACTTCTAAAACAAAATTTTTATTATAACATAAGTGTATTCAATTTCAAGCAAGTAATGCAACATTTTTATGACATAAATCATATAATATAGCATCATGCACACTACAAATAACTGATTATCTGTTGTGCAACAATACAAAGTTAATATGCATCAGCATTCTCAAAGATACAGATGGACTATTCAAGAAATTACACATTTGTTTTTAATTTAAAAATAGAAAAAAATACCATTGGTATAACTTTAACAAACTTGAGATCATAAAAAAGAGAAGAGAATTATTTAGAAAAATATGAGAAAATAGATTGAGGCAATTATTTTAAATACACTAGAAACAAATACATTTATAGACTGATGAGATCAGTCTTTAAAGGTATCTATATTACTTTGGTAACAAACATGACATGAAATATAAATTTTATATACATTCTATAGATGCATTTTAGCAAATTAATTCCATATACAAAAAATATATAAAATACTATACACTAGCAAAAATTTTAAAGAAGGCTCTATATTTAAATACATGCAGCTAATTCTATTATATCTCAACCAGATGTAACAACCTATAGTCATGTCAAATGGTAACAATAACTATACTTTAGAAACATAAGAGATATGTATGATATGATAAGAATGTGGAATATAAAATTATCTTTCCTTTGATAATAAAAATATTTACATAAAAGACTATTATATAATATTTAACTGTGAAATAATGTTTTGAAAGGCTTTTTGTTTTTTCTTAAGAGTTATCTCACATTATTTTTAATATAGATAAAATATTTGACTACTGAATGGTGACTTTCATAGATGATTAATATCAATTCTTTTTGGTAAATTAAAGAACAATATTTTAGTAAACTTATCTCTAATAGATAATAAAATTATAACATTTTAATAAGCACTGTATATGATTTATGCATAATTAAAGGACAGAGATGTTAATAAAAATTATTAGTGAAAATACTTGTACAAAGACTAAAAGATATTGAGAAGGGAATTTGATGATGTTTCAATAAAAATAGAACTTTAAATTACTTTAAATTGCCAGCTGCCAGACTGAGCCTGGGGTTTTTATGGGCTTAGATTGGGGAAATGCATGCTGACTGGTGTATGGGGGGGCTGTTTTCTTTGATTACATATCAAAAGGGGATATGTAATCATTTAGTTTTTATATTTTTTGCATTAAATTAGAATTCAAACACAAATAAACCTAACATTTGACTGTAATTCTACTCAGGTGCTCTAAAAGTGAAAACATATAAAAACATGTCTTATGCACATAGAAGATTGATTCTAAAGTATATGCAGAAAGCTGAAACTGGACCCCTTCCTTACACCTTATACAAAAATTAACGAAAGATGGATTAAAGACTTAAACGTAAGACCTAAAACCATAAAAACCCTAGAAGAAAACCTAGGCAATACCATTCAGGACAAAAGCATGGACAAAGACTTCATGACTAAAACACCAAAAGCAATGGCAACAAAAGCCAAAACTGACAAATAGGATCTAATTAAACTAAAGAGCCTCTACACAGCAAAAGAAGACTATCAGAGTGAACAGGCAAACTACAGAATGGGAGAAAATTTTTGCAATTTATCCATCTGACAAAGGGCTAATATCCAGAATCCACAAAGAACTTAAACAAATTACCAGAAAAAATAAACAACCCCATTAAAAAGTGGACAAAAGATATGAATAGACACTTCTCAAAAGAAGATATTTATGCCGCTAACAAACATGAAAAAATGCTCATCATCACTGGTCATTAGAGAAATGCAAATCAAAACCACAGTGAGATACCATCTCACGCTGGTTAGAATGGCCATCAGTAAGAAGTCAGGAAACAACAGATGCTGGAGAATAGGTGGAGAAATAGGAATGCTTCTACACTGTTGATGGGAGTGTAAATTAGTTCAACCATTGTGGAAGACAGTGTGGTGATTCCTCAAGGATCTAGAACCAGAAATACCATTTGACCCAGGAATCCCATTACTGGATATATACCCAAAGGATTATAAATCATTCTACTATAAAGACACATGCACACGTATGTTTACTGCAGCACTGTTCACAATAGCAAAGACTTGGAACCAACCCAAATGTCCATCAATGATAGAATGGATAAAGAAAATGTGGCACATATACACCATGTAATACCATGCAGTCATAAAAAAGGATGAGTTCATGTCCCTTGCAGGGACATGGATGAAGCTGGAAACCATCATTATCAGCAAACTAACACAAGAACAGAAAACCAAACACTGTATGTTCTCACTCACAGTTGGGAGTTGAACAATAAGAACACATGGACACAGGGAGGGGAATATCACACACCGGGACCTGTTGGGGGTTGGGGGGCCTAGGGGAAGGATAACATTAGGAGAAATACCTAATGTAGATGATGGGTTGATGGGTGCAGCAAACCATCATGGCACGTGTATACCCATGTAACAAACCTGCATGTTCTGCACATGTATCCTAGATCTTAAGGTAAAATTTTTTTTAAAAAGTATATAAAGGAAAACAAAAAAAGGCAAATTATGCACAAAAAATAAGTTTGGGCTGAAATATCTATCAGGTATTATGCTCACTACCTGGGTGACGGAATCACCTGTATTCCAGGCCTCAGCATCATGCAATATACCCATGTTAACAAATCTGCACTTGTAGCCTCTGAATCTGAAATGTAAGTTGAAATTACTTTTAAAAATTACATACAGCTTCAAATATTTATATCTCATTATAAGAGTCATTGGAAATAACTTCTATTTAGTGTAACTATTGAAGTTTATTTTTATCATTTTTAAGTAATTAATTACTGTCAGTAATCAGCAACAGCTAAACAAAGGTAACTCTCACCCAGATGAACCCCATTTCCTGTGAAAAATAGTATACTGTAACTCAGCAGGGTGTTACTTCAGATCAACTGAATTTTAAAGAAACATATAATTTACTCTCCTTATTGCTGTACCATTTGAAAAAATTTACTCCATAAGTTCATAGTATGTAAAAGAAGGAAGGCCGCTTAACTACTCACTTGGCAGAGCTTAGGAGTCATTAATTGCTAAAGTCCTGATGTGAAATTTATGTTTCCTTTTAAGAACCTCAACTCAGTTCAAACACGTCATTTTTATTAGTATTTGGCAAAGTCTTAAAATGTTTACTTTATGTAGCCAGAAGAGATCATTTTTAATAGCTGGTTCAATAGTCAGAGACAACTGTGTCTACTCACCTCCATGTTCCATATTAAATGTATAACCTAATAATTTGATCAACCAATCATGAACTTACAGAACCCTAGGTTTTAACATTGACAAATGCCATTTTTGCTTGAGAACATTCACTTACCTTCACCGTAGATTATGTTGCTGAACAATGGGAATTTATTTGTTTGTCAAGAATTATTTATTAAAGGGTGTCCTTGGTTTCTCCTGAAACTAGAGAGAAAATTTGGCAGGCAGGCCGATGGCGGATGAGCCCAGTTGAATATAAAAAGAGGAAGGAGCGACGTTCAGAATGTTTACTGTGTAGTTACTGTTGCTATAGCAGAATTTGGGGTGTTTGTGGACCTTTTAAGAAGCATTCAGAATGCCTTATAGGACTGTGCACTTGAAGCAGAGGAGGAATGCATTATTTACCACTGGCTTCCTTTCTCAGTTGAGAGATGTACCCATCGGCATGTCAGCCGAAAAAAAGACAGAAGAGAAAAATATGTCCTAATTTAATGAATTTATCAGAAGTAGGCAAAGATGATTATAACCCCGATACACACTTACAGCAAGTCACAGATACACCTGAAGAGGGGAGGGTGAGAGCAAGCTTCTTTTAGCAAAAAGGAGAGGTTCACACAAACTGCTTGGAAACAGAGTTTGTTGGTTTCAGAGACTCAAAGCCAGAGCTTGCATTAATTTATTGGTGGAGATGCCCTTACTGAGTCAGTATTCTTATGAGAGCATCTTATCTGAATTGCTGCAGTCCGAATGAATGTTTAGTGATAAACTCGGTCACAGAGATATGTGTACACATGCAAAATGTAGGTCACGAGAAGCATTAAATGCATAAAAAACATAAAGTGATTTCTTGTGGAGTTATTTTAGAAAGTCCTTGAGATAGTTTTATCTCAGACATGCAAGCATGGGCCTTCCTCCTTTGTGCTTTCCCGGCTCAAATTAGAGTCTTACAGACATGACTCGATCCTGGTATCTTCTACCATCCAGAGGATGCTTTTCTGGGTTGAGTGAGTTCTTCCAGCTTTGAGGAAGACCCCAGGGCAGACAGCAGAAAGGCAGGGCATTTGCATCATAACTATAGGTGGAATCAAAGGGGCCAGGGAACATAAAAGCTGGGCTCCAGAGCTGCATACGATATAATACAAGGAAACCACTGCATGTCATGCACAGTTCTAGGGCCTTGGAATTAACTGGACAACTGAATGCTAGAGGTTAAAAGTGAAGAGACGTAATGTACAGTCACTAACCTTAACGAGTTGATAAGCAAGTGCATGATTAAGCAGAGATAGCCCTCCATTTGAAGAAATCAAAAGCAGTGCAAGACACTTTCGTCTTGGTATAAAATGAGTGACTTAGACAAATGTAGAAGTACATTTATATAAAGGTTCATCCCCTAACCAGTTGAAACCTCTTTGTAAGTAGGGGGCATTTAAAGTTTTGTATTGTAACTGTTAAGCACAAGGCATGTACTCATGGGATAAATACATTTTCCAAATGAAAGAAACAGAGAAAAACAAGGAAGACAAAAGAACTAGTAAAGTTTAAATCAGTTCAGAAAAAGACACTTAGGAAAGAGCTTTACAACACATAAGAAGTTGGAAAGTTATCTATGCAATAATATTCAGGTCTGTTTGCTGGACTGATTTATTATTGTCTAACATAACATTTTAGAAAAATATGTTGAATGTATTAATAAAAGGAAGGGAAACAATTTTAACTACCTTCAAAATGCAAATCAAAAATAGTTTATTTCATTACATTTGAAAGGAAATTATAATGAATTAAACTAAATTAATTACATAACTAGATTTTTATTTGATTACTACAAACAATATTTATTCATGAAAAAGTGGTTTCATACTGTTACAACCAGAAGTGAGTTTATTCTTGAAATATATTCTAGAAATAATTTATTTGGCAGATGATCCAGAGACTTTTTAGCTTATAGAGAACTAGATTTCCAAAATCAAAGTCTGTGTCAAGTGCTTTATTATTTCCAAGGAGTAAGCATTTAAAAATACCTATAAAGATCAAAGGCTATAAAAGTAAAAGCTTACAGAATCCAACCAAATGACGTAAACATGTGATTTGGGCCAGGTGCAAAACAATAGCACATGATCGACCCTTTAGTTAATTGAAAAATGCATAGCCTTCTAAGAGCAGCCATTCAAATTACACTAAAGAAAGCGTTATGGTGGTCAAAAACAAAACCACCACAACAACAAACAAACAAAAATAATTTTGTGTACCTGAGCATCAGTTATCTCCTAAGTATACTATGTAGAAAACAATCACACAACCTCAGTGATGTATTTCAATAAACAGTTACTTAACTTATACATCTAGGAGATTCCCCTGATTTCAGTTGGGCTCACTCACGTGTCTTTGGTTGGCTCATATCTATGGATTATCTGTCTTTCAAATGACCTAAGACAGTCTTGCCTGGCAAGACCAGAGAAATACAGTTTGAAAAGTTTATGATTTGTCATCCTCCAGCAGGTGAGCTTGGGCATTGACATGAGAATCACCTCATTCAAGAGATGCAAAAGAGAAAGTGCAGACACCACAAGCACTTTTTCAAGCCTCTGCATGCATCACATATACAGTCCTCCTTCAGTATCCACGGGTGTTTGTTCCGGGCCCCCCACAGATTCCAAAATTTGTGGATGCTCAAGTCTCTGATATAAAATGCCATAGTATTTGGTATAACCTACACACTTTAAATCATCTCTAGATTACTTATAATGCCTAATACTAATAGTTGTTGTACTGTATTTTTGTTTGTATTTTTTTACTGCTATGCTTTTTTTTCTTTTTTATTTCAGAATATTTTCCATCTTAGTTGAATCCTCAGCTTCAGAACCCAAGGTATGGAGGGTCAACCTGCCTAAGCAGGTTGTCATATAACTGAGAAGTTACATAACAAAGCAGGCATAAAGAAGAGGGATGAATAGAGTTGGCCATCATTTCACTCAATCTAATATACCTTGCATGTTATCACTAATAAAAGATTATCCATCTTTGAACTCTGCTATAGGCTAGAATTGTATAAACTGAAGAATCATATATATCCTTGATTAATGATCTGTAATCACTTGAAAAGTTATTAGAACCACATAAGCTGTTGCTGTTAAAATTTTAATGATCATAAAGACATGATTTATAATGGAATCTGGTTCTTTTATTTATAAACTATATATAATTACTCAGACCCTATTCTTTCTTTATCTCCAGTATTTGCATATGCAGTTTTAATGATATATCTTAGATCTTGACAAATAAGTCTTTTTGTCTTAGGGCTAGAAGAAGATAAGAGAGTTAGTGAAATTTATTCACTTTTATACATAAAAGGTCAAGAAATTCCTGGTTCTATTGCTGATAAAAACAAACATACAAACAAAAACAAATTGTAAAATTCATTTGACATATCTCATCTAAACTTAACTTTTAGGGCACCCACACGTGTGTCTATGTAAGACTTGTCTCGCTGCCCTACCATGTGTGAATAATAATTGTATGTTTATACTTGTGTCTTCCTAACACACAGGAGTGTTAATTAGATTTTCAGTTAGTGTTTGCTGAACTGCATTAGCTAAATTGTGATGGCGTAAGACAATTAGTGATTCTCTGGTGATTCATATATATTTTTTAAAGACTTAGCTAAAGAAAGAGGACAGCATGTCTAACCCCTTCCTTTTAATTTGCCATGATTCAGTCTGACAATTTTTTTCCAGATTTTATCAAAGACAATGGTGAAAAAATGAGAAGATAACATGAGATTAAAATATAAGTTAAGATATAAGAAGTTATTTTTGGCGTTCCAACATAAAAGGTAGTTGCCTAGGGCTAGGTTGAAGGCGTTCAAATGTATGTTCTTCCCTGTGCTCTGGCCAATGTTCTTCTGTGTTGAGTGTGTACATGTAATTTTGTTTTTTAACAAAAGTTTTTTTGTTTTGTTTTGTTTTTGTTTTTTTTCCCGAGAAGAAGTCTTGCTCTGTCTCCCAGACTGGAGTGCAATGGTACAATATCGGCTCATAGTTACCTATGCTTCCTAGGTCCAAATGATTCTCCTGTCTCAACCTCCCGAGTAGCTGGGATTACAGGTGCCCGCCACCATGCCTGGCTAATTTTTTGTATTTTTAGTAGAGACGGGGTTTCAACATTTTGCCCAGGCTGGTCTTGAACTCCTGACCTCGTGATCTTCCCGCCTTGGTCTCCCAAAGTGCTGGGATTACAGGCGTGAGCCATCCTGCCGGCCTTTTGTTTTTGAAATGGAGTCTCACTTTGTCACTGAGGCTAGAGTGTAGTGGTGCTATCCCGGCTCACTGCGACCTCCACCTCCTGGGTTCAAACGATTCTCCTGCCTCAGCCTCCTGAGTAGCTGGGACTACAAGCGCCTGCCACCACGCCCAGCTAATTTTTGTATTTTTAGTAGCTTCTGCCCAAAGGTCCTGTATAAATCTGATGGCGGATGATTCTACTCTCAGGCTGGTTAAACCTTCTCACAAGCCATATTCAACCCAAAGGAAGAACTTATTCCTTTTTATCCAGAATGACTACTAAGAATAAATTATTTTCATAAACTTAATATTCTGGTTACTCTAATACTGCCATCTCTAATAAACTTGTAAGATAAATTTGAAATATCTAAATGTGATAAATGTGTAATATATCCAATGTATCATTTACCATTCTCAAGGCATTCGGTTCTTAAAATTATTTAAGATCACTATAAAAGCTATATGTTAATAAATTATAATAAACTAAGCAGAGCCTATATCACTATTGTCATATATGTTGTTCTATGCCTGTCGAGATGAACATCTATTATTCTATTTTAAATGAATATATTATCACAAGTGTAGGGAGTTTAAACATTAAGATATAAAACCTGACTTAAATCCACAAAGGAAAGAAAACATCATAAATGCTTTTTGCACTTTGAATTGCATGCTTAAGAATAATATTCGTCTTAATAATTCAGTATATAAAAGTGTTTAGTAGATGTAAAAATATGGTTAGATTTTAAGGAGTTTTTTTTTTTAATTGCATGTGTTGTCCCAGGTACAACAAGCACCAATCTAATCACCATCTCTGCAGAAGAAAAAAAACTCACTGAAAATAAAGAATACATACCAGCAAGATAGAGGTTAAGGAAATGGCTAAAGGTTTTTTCCCTTTAAGAGCCTTGACCTCTTACTGTTGTTAATAATGATCAACCATTGTGCATTTAACCTTCAGCACATTGCTCCATTACTAAAAGCATTTATACAAAAGTTATTATCAATTTATTCAATTATATATTCACTTTCCTGGTTATATTTATATTATTGTAAACTGTAGAGCAAATAGTTTTAAAATATTGTGAAGACACTGTAGAATTTAAACAAATCACTAAATAATCCACAAGTATGACATCACTGGCTAGATATGCACAGGTCGAGTTCCTGACTTCTTGGTGGAATTTTTCTAGCTCAAGCACTCGGGAGTCATCAGCCAATCCCTTTCCAAATGACGTGGCTAAACTTAAAGACGTTTTCAAGGACCTGTCTGCTTCCTTGACCTAATTGCATTTACAGTCTTCAGACTGTTTTGCTTTTGTGATGGCTACAAGTAACACTGAAATACTGAGGATGGTTAAGCTCTTCCGAGGAAAGGTATCTCAGTGGCATCCATTCAAATGCATTGTTTCACAGGGGATGTATTTTGAGAAAGGGCAGATGGTAGCATTTCCCAGAACATCTGTTACCCATCATTCTTTCACAGAGCAACCCAGATACTGTTGACAACTTCTATGTAAATCATGCTGACAATTTGTTCAATGTCTTTCCTGCTGAGACTGAGGTTGTCCTGGTCATACCATTTATCAGATATAGGAGATACTGCCATCCCACAAGAACAGTTCCAACTGTGTTTTGGCCAGAGAACAATAGCAGCCATTAAATCAAAGGAACAATTTATCTACCTTGAAGTTATCTCCGTATTACCTCAAGGATTTCCTACCTCACCTTTCCTAGTCTTATCTAAAGGTGTACATTAGATATTAAATGCTCTGCAAAATAGAAAAATGTTAAATTACTTCTTGATACTTGTCCTTAGCTTCTTTTATTATTATTTGTCAGAGGTAATCATTTCTTTGACCTTGCATGTTAAAATTACTTTCATCTCAGGGAAATGACATATACGAGTGAAATTATGCATGCATTGCTATATAAATGTCAGAATTTTAGTTTGCAAATGCCTGCTATAAAATATTCACAGTATTGAAAGTTGATTTACAACCCATTTCAGCCTGTAATCTATCGTATTCTAATTTCATACCTTATATCAGAGTGCATTTTTCACAATGTTTAAAAGAAAACAAAAAGAAATCATTTCTTTAATTAACCTACCTATGAAAATGATAAACTAAAACCATTGGCATTTATTACATGATTACAGTTTTTCTAAGCAAACCCAATTAGACCATAATACAGGTTATAGAGATGAAAAGTGTATAATTAAATTTTAAAATACCTAAGCTTATGAAGGCATTATACATAAGCAGATCTACCTGTTAAAAAATAATGAAGATAAAAACATAAAAAAATTTATTAACTAACTTTAAGTACAAGTTTTGCACATCAAATATCCATTTAATTTGCAAAGTAAATAAATTTTACTTTGGGATGTTGGTTAATCTGCATTTGATACTAATTGATTATGTCTCAATCATTTTTGTCACACAATAACAGGTTAACAGCACTGGGAAAAATATGTTAGACTATAAAATATTGTAGATATGCTCTCTATCTTTTAAAATTATACATATATATCCTTAGTATAATAGATGTACACACACAATTGCAACATAGAAACAGTAACTGTTAGATTGACCTGCCACCATAATAAAGTGGATTCTGAACATTAATAATAATGTTTACACTATAAAAGAATGTACACATAATGTAATGTGGATTCTTTTTCAGACCACCAACCTATTACATTAAAATTGCTTTGGACTAATAGCAATGTTAAATCTCAATTTTATATAAGATGGGGCTCCTTGCCCCATAATTCAGAGATAGCTTTTCTGTGTAAAATGTAATAAAAGTTTGATCAACTTACTGGGTGGGGGATTTTTCTTTTTCTTTTTCTTTTTTCTTTTTTTTTTTTTTGAGACAGGGTCTTGCTCTGTCACCCAGGCTAAAGTTTGCAGTGCCACAATCACACCCCACTGCAGCCTTGGCCTCCTGGGTGCAAGTGATCCTCTCACCTCTGCCTCTTGAGTAGCTGGGACTATAGGTTCTCACCCCATCATTCAGCTAATTTTAAATTTTTTTTGTGGAGACAGGGTCTCACTATGTTGCCCAGGCTGGTCTAGAACTCCCGGGCTCAAGTAATCTTCCTACCTCAAACTCCCAAAGTGCTGGGATTACAGGCATAAGCCACTGCACTGGCCCGAGAAGTTTTTTAAAAAAGCTTTTGGCAATGAGTTGTAGGAGGAAAAGATAGATTCATGTGTAATTTATGTTTAGTATGTACTTGAATTTTGTTATACGTATATAAAACATCTGGAAGTAATATATATAATATACTGTCTGTCACTAAACATAAATGGTGATGTGATAAGCAAAATGAAATTAAGCAAATCAGTACTTTCTATATTATTTAATAATATACTTGTAACAATATTAATTTTCTAACAAAATATCCCAAATATTATGGTACCTAAACAAAATATGTATGAAGCAACCTTTTATGTGTGCTTATAATTTAGGTCCATTATTTAAGTTAATTGGATCATAGAGTTATAAAGAGCCAAGTCTGGGATATTCTTTTCATACTAGTCAAAGTCAATTAGCTTAAAAACAATAAAATCTCTATGCATTTATATATATATATATATATATACGTATATATATATATATGTATATATATATATACGTATATATATATACACACACATATACATATACACACACACACACTTTTTACACTATTGGATCAAATCAAATAGGTACAACAGAAACTAAGGGGTAGAAAATGTTTTGAGTAGCCAGATTTTTCCACATTAATCTATATTAAATATTTCATAAATTGTTTCTGTAGAAGAAAATCACATTATGCAAAATAACTTTGACCTGAAACTCTTAACCTCAGGTTTATTTTTTTAAGACTGTGGCTCTTCCTGTTAAAATGTAAATCTCATCAGAGTCTTCTAGCTATTGGCAGAATTCATGATGTGGCAAATTAGGTGACCATACATTCTAGCTTGCCTCAGACATCTCAGTAATGGTTGTTTTCCTGCACAATTAATAATACTGCCATTCATTCTAAAAGGTACAGGTTTGGATGATAAATTATATGGCCACACTACTTACTAACCACCCAAGTGTATCATGGTGCTGAAACAAATCTCAGTATCAATTCATACCTGAGAATATTTTTAAACAGCTTGGTTTCTGATTTATGAATTACTCATATAGAATGTTTGGGTCAATTTCCCCACAAAGATTTCAATGACTTGTAGTGTATCTTTAAAAGGAATTACAGCAAAGTCTACTTAATATTGACGTTAATATTGTGATTCTAAAAGAAAATGATAGTTGCCTCCTCACATACTGGCAAACAGAAAGTCTTACTATTTTTAGGACCATAGAAAGCATTACATAAAGGGAAGTCTGTTTGCATTTGTAGCTGACAACTTGACTAGTCTCAAATAAAGAGAAAAAGACAATAGATGTGAAAGTGTCTAAGTGTCAGGTGTTCTTTGCTTCCTGATGTGTCAAAAGCTTTCCCTAGTAAAAATGCAAGATTCCCGGAGGCTGATAAGGCTACTAATAGTTCCAAGTTGACCTACAAATGTGTTCTGCTATGAATAGCAAATCGCCTCCTTAAAATTTGGTCAACTGAACTAACTTTGTGATAGGTATATATGAGGGCAATCTATCTCATTTCTTTAGAAATAGAAATTAAACCTTTTAATTGATTATATATGGTTGAGATCCTTTGAAAAGCATCCATGTCAATAATTAACTCAACTAGCTATAAAAAGAGTATAGTCATCATAATGAGTAACTTCTCTCTGTCCCAATATTTAATCCATGGACATTAAGAGCTATATGAAATTCAAGTACATCACTTGTATTTCAAATGCGCTTCCTTTGAGTCAAATTAAAGTGTGTTTTGAAATATGAAAAAATGTGTCTAGAGACAACATGTCTCTACCTGACAGGGTTAGGGAGTAGATTAAATTGGTTTTACCATATCATACATTGACTCCAGTCCAGGTAGTCAGAGTTTATGACTATGATCAAATGCTGGAATTCAACTTTTCTAGGGGTCATTAGTTTCAACATGATGAGCAAAATACACATCATCTCTTCTTTGTGCTTCAAACCCAGTATATTATTAAATGACATTAATAAATAATAAAAATATAAGATATAAATAAAATATACATAAATGTATGTGCAAAAAAAAGAAGAGGAAATTTGGTTGATTAGAAACTGTGAGAAATGCTTCAAAGTTTAAATACAAAATGGGACAAAATAAATACCAAAATTATAGTTTGAGAGGCATGCAAAAGTGTGTCATAGAGTACTAACACAAAATGTTGCACCATGCCAGGCAATATGAGAGCTTTGACTTATGTAAGTGATAACATTTCATCAATGGTGACAGGCTAAATTAATCCAAATACTTAAAAAACAAACATCTATATGTTTTCACTTAATTGGGTTCCTTGGACCTAAAGGTATGATGAAAATTAACTTTTTCTTGGTATATTGTAGAAAGAGTTCTAAATATTAAATTTCTGATTTAACTTATCTTTATTATGAGCCTTGATTTATTTACTAATGAAAAACTCAACTTTAAATATATATCCTTTCTAACTCTTTAGGTTATTTCCCTTTCTGTCAGTTAAAAATACATTAATGACTAAAGTAAAAAAGATAAATCACGTCAATTTTCTTGAATGCCAGAGAGATGATCTCCACAATTGTACAAAAGTAATGCAAACTTATTTCTCAAAATTTTGAATAAACCTCCCAATGAAATAGAGATCCATGTGTCCTATCATTCCTAGTTCCCTCAAAACTTTAATGAAATCACTTTAACTGCCTCACTTTAAATTGGAAATCTTTTAATGTCTGTAGAGTCTATACACCCAATAACTGACATATCAGCAACAGAAATCCAGATGTACAGGGCTTTTCTTTAGTTCCTCCATATAAAGTGCTAATTAGAAGGATCGTTCCACTATGAGACACTGCTTTAGCACTTCCTGGGCAAATTATTTTTATGCTCAGACTTGTGAGTCAAATCTGGAGGGAAATGTTCTTACATTTTCAAACTAAGAAAGATGCTGTTAATGACTAAGTAGTTGGTATTTCCTAACCTATGTGCATTATTGACCTAAACATCTTAGAACAATTGAAGATGCTTCCCTCTACAAGTATATTATTTATATAAATACAGTAAAGTTAGAGGCAAAACTGAGAGGTGAAGCCAGCTGGACTTCCTGGGTCGAGTAGGGACTTGTAGAACTTTTCTGTCTAGCTAGAGGATTGTAAACGAACCAATCAGCACTCTGTAAAAATGCACCAATCAACACTCTGTGTCTAGCTAAAGGATTGTAAACACACCAATCAGCACTCTGTAAAAATGCACCAATCAGTGCTCTGTGTCTAGCTAAAGGATTGTAAATGCACCAACCAGCACTCTGTAAAATGGGCCAACCAGCATTCTGTAAAATGGACCAATCAGCTCTCTGTAAAATGGACCAATCAGCAGGATGTGGGAGGTGCCAAATAAGGGAATAAAAGCTGGCCACCTGCGCCAGCAGCAGCAACCCGCTCAGGTCCCCTTCCACACTGTGGAAGCTTTGTTCTTTCACTCTTCACAATAAATCTTGCTGCTGCTCACTCTTTGGGTCTGCACTACCTTTATGAGCTGTAACACTCACAGTGAGGGTCTGCAGCTTCATTTCTGAAGTCAGCAAAACCAAGAACCCACCAGAAGGAACCAATTCCAGACACATTTTCACAACCCAGATGGGACTATCGTGTATCGCTAAGTGGCGAGTACCATCGGACCCCTTTCGCTTGCTATTCTGTCCTGTTTTTTCCTTAGAATTCGGGGGCTAAATACTGGGCACATGTTGGCCAGTTAAAAGTGACTAGCGTGGTGGCTAAAAACATGGGTGTCAGACTTTCTGAGAAAGGGCTCTCTAACAACCCCCGACTCTTCAGAGTTGGGAGCATTGGTTTGCCTGGAACCAGCTTCTGCTTTTCCTGTACTTCTGGGCTGAGCCTAGGGTGGACAGAGAGGAAAGCCATTCAGCTCCAAGATCCTGACAACAAGTTGGTTGACCTTGCAGCCATGAGCAGAACTCTCAAAGTCATGTCACCCAAGTGAGACTCTCCCATCCACCTATCTATCCTGACCTCTGTCTACTGGGTCTTAATGCCTGTCAGACAAACTTCCTCCTGCCTCTCTTCTCTGAGGCTAGTCCCACTTCTAAAAACCACTCCCTGTCTCTGGTGCTTTTCTAGTTTCTCCTATAAGAATTATTGCTAATATAAACTTCAGGACTCTGTTACCTTCTTTAGGCACCCGGGCTCACCAATCAGAAAGACATAATTTTTTGCCCAAAGCCCCATCATACAGGGGACTTTCTGGAATTTTAGGATCCCTCCTCAGACTAGCAGGCCAAACAAAAGCTATTCCTGAAGCTAGGATATGGGGAGCTTCAGAAATGGTATCTTTCCTATTCATATAAGTGAGGACAAAAGGCATCACTCTTCCAACCCTGGCGATCCCTTCCCTCCCTCAGGGTATGGCCGTCTACTTCATTTTTGGGGCATAACATCTTCATGGAATAGGCATAAGGTCCCAACACTAACAGGAAAATGCTTAGGACTCTAACAGGTTTTCAAGAATGCTTCAGTAAGGGCCACTAAATCCAACTGCCTTTGGTCCTCCTTGTGGTCTAGGAGGAAAACTAGTGTTTCTGCTGCTGTGTCAGTGAGCGCAACTATTCCTATCAGCAGGGTACAGAGACTGTTGTGAGCTCTTGGGCAACAGGTGTTTCTGCTGCTGCATCAGTGAGCGCAACTATTCCTATCAACAGGGTCCAAGGCCATTGTGGGTTCTTGGGCAAGAGGTGTTTCTATTGCTGCATTGGTGAGTGCAACCATTCTGATCATCAGGGTCCAGGGACCGTTGCAGGTTCTTGGGCAAGAGGTGTTTCTGCTACCGCATCGGTGAGTGCAACTATTCCAATCAGCAGGGTCCAGGGACCTTTGTGGGTTCTTGGGCTGGGGGTAGAAACAAACAAAACCACGGGTGGTTTTGTCTTTCAGATGGGAAACCCTCAGGTATCAACAGGCTCACCCTTGAAATGCATCCTAAGCCATTGGGACCAATTTGACCCGCAAACCCTGAGAAGGAGGAGGTTCATTTTTTTCTGCACTATGGCCTGGCCCCAATATTCTCTCTCTGATGGGGAAAAATGGCCACCTGAGGGAAGTATAAATTACAATACTATCCTGTAGCTTGACCTTTTCTGTAAGAGGGAAGGCAAATGGAGTGAATACCTTATATCCAAGCTTTCTTTTCATTGAAGGAGAATACACAGCTATGCAAAGCTTGCAATTTACATCCCACAAGAGGACCTCTCAGCTTACTCCCATATCCTAGCCTCCCTATAGTTCTCCTTCCTATTAATGATAAGCCTCCTCTAATCTCCCCTGCCCACAAAGAAACAAGCAAATAAATCTCCAAAGGACCACAAAACCCCCTGGGCTATCAGTTATGTCCCCTTCAAGCTGTAGGGGGAGGGGAATTTGGGCCAACCTGGGTACATGTCCTTTCTCCCTATCTGATTTAAAGCAGATCCAGGTAGACCTGGGAAAGTTTTCAGATGATCCTGATAGGTACATAGATGTCCTACATCTCACTTGGAGAGATGTCATGCTATTGTTAGATCAAACCCTGGCCTTTAATGAAAATAATGTGGCTTTAGCTGCAGCCCAAGAGTTTGGAGATACCTGGTATCATCGTCCAGTAAATGATAGAATGACAGCTGAACAAAGGGACAAATTCCCTACTGGTCAGCAAGCCATCCCCAGTATGGATCTCCACTAGGACCTCAACTCAGACCATGGGGACTGGAGTCATAAACATCTGTTCACCTGTGTTCTAGAAAGACTAAGGAGAATTAGGAAAAAGCCCATGAATTGTTCAATGAAGTCCATCATAACTCAGGGAAAGGAAGAAAATCCTTCTCCTTCCTCAAGCAGCTATGGGAGGCCTTAAGAAAATATATTTCCCTGTCACCCAACTCATTAGAGGGCCAATTGATCCTAAAAGATAAGTTCATTACCCAATCAGCCACACATATCAGAAGAAAGCTCCAAAAGTGAGCCCTGGACCCTGAACAAAATCTGGAGGCATTATTAAACCTGGGAACCTCAGTGTTCTATAATAAGGACCAAGAGGAAGAGGTCCAAAAGGAAAAGTGAGATCAGAGAAAGGCTGCAGCCTTAGTCATGGCCCTCAGACAAACAAACCTTTGTAGTTCAGAGAGGACAGAAAATGGAGCATGCCAATCACCTGATGGGGCTTGTTACCAGTGTGGTTTGCAAGGACACCTTAGAAAACATTGTCCAATGAGAAACAAGCCACCCCCTCATCCATGTCCGCTTTGCCGAGGCAGTCACTGGAAGGCACACTGCCCCAGAGAGCAAAGCTTCTCTGGGCCAGAAGCCCCCAACCAGATGATCGAAAAACAGGACTGAGGATGCCCGGGGTAAGCACAAGCTCATGTCATCACCCTCACTGAGCCCCAGGTACATTTAACCATTGAGGGCTAGGAAACTGACTTCCTCCTGGACACTGGTGTGGCCTTCTCAGTGTTAATCTCCTGTCCCACATGACTGTCCTCAAGGTCTGTAACTATCCGAGGAATCCTAGGACAGCCTGTAACCAGGTATTTCTCCCACCTCCTCAGTTGTAATTGGGAGACTTTGCTATTTTCACATGCCTTTCTTATTATGCCTGAAAGGCCCACACCCTTATTAGGGAGGGATATATTAGCCAAAGCTGGAGCTATTATCTACACGAATATGGAGAACAAGTTACCAATTTGTTGTCCCCTACTTGAGGGGGGAATCAACCATGAAGTCTGGGCCAAAAAAATTTGGAAGGGCAAAAAATGCCTGCCCAGTCCAAATCTGGCTAAAAGACCCCACCACTTTTCCTTATCAAAGGTAATATCCCTTAAGGCCTGAAGCTCATAAAGGATTACAGGATATTGTTAAACATTTAAAAGCTCAAGGCTTAGTAAGAAAATGCAGCAGTCCCTGCAACAACACCCCAATTCTAGGAGTACAAAACCCGAATGGTCAGTGGAGACTAGTGCAAGATCTTAGACTTATCAATGAGGCAGTAATTCCTCTATATCCAGTTGTACCCAACCCCTCTACCCTGGTCTCTCAAATACCAGAGGAAGCAGAATGGTTCACTGTTCTGGACCTCAAGGATGCCTTCTTCTGTATTCCCCTCCACTCTGACTCCCAGTTTCTCTTTGCCTTTGAGGATCCCACAGACCACATGTCCCAACTTATGTGGACTGTCTTGCCCCAAAGGTTTAGGGATAGCCCTCATCTCTTTGGTCAGGCACTAGCCCAAGAACTAGGCCACTTCTGAAGTCCAGGCCCTCTGTTCCTTCAGTATGTGGATGATTTACTTTTGGCTACCAATTCAGAAGCTTCATGCCAGCAGGCTACTCTAGATCTCTTGAACTTTCTAGCTAATCAAGGGTACAAGGTGTCTAGGTCAAAGGCCCAGCTTTGCCTACAGCAGGTCAACTATCTAAGCCTAATCTTAGCCAGAGGGACCAGGGCCCTCAACAAGGAATGAATACAGACTTTACTGGCTTATATTCACCCTAAGACATTAAAACAGCTGCGGGGATTCCTTGGAATCACTGGCTTTTGCTGACTATGGATCCCCAGACACAGCGAGATAGCCAGGCCCCTCTATACTCTAATCTAGGAGACCCAGAGGGCAAATACTTATCTTGTAGAATGGGAACCAGAGGCAGAAACAGCTTCAAAACCTTAAAGCAGGCCCTAGTACAAGCTCCAGCTTTAAGCATTCTCACAGGACAAAACTTCTCTTTATATGTCACAGAGAGAGCAAGGCTAGCTCTTGGAGTCCTTACTCAGACCTGTGGGACAACCCCACTGTATCAGGATGAGCTGCGGAAAAAAACCCTGAGACACCGAGATAGTGAAGGGAGTGGCTTTAATCAGCTGGAAGCATCAGCAGACTAGTGTCTTAAAATCCAGGCTTGTCAGGTGTACAATTTCTGTCCTTCTTAAGGGCTCACAATGCTAAGAGCTTCACATGAAAGGGTCGTGACTGACTGAGGAAGCCAGGGGGTACGTGACAGGGGCTGCATGCGCCAGTGGTCAGAGTGAAACAGAACAGACCAGGAAGTTTCACAATGTCTTTCCGTACAATGTCTGGAATCTATAGATAACATCAGCTGCTAGGTCAGGGTTCTTTTAACTACCAGGCTTAGGTCAGGCAGGCCCAGGCCTGGGTTTGGATCTGGTTCCTTGATTTCGGGTCTTGTTCCTAGGTGCCGGGCTACCCATCTTTAGTTTCACTTCTCTTTCCTTTGCTGAGTATAAAACCATATAAAAAATATGAGAGGGTCTGTCTCTCTTCTCTCATTTCCCCCCTTTGAGATTCTCACTTTTTATTAGTGGGAGTTGTCACTCTTATTTTCACTACTTATGTCTTTCTCTGCAATAGATTGATAAGGATTCATATATTACACTTGGGCTGAAGCATTTTAGTGAACTAAGGTAATGATGAAGCTTTTTATCATTTGAAGAAGTACAGGTAGCAAACAAGGGAGCAGTAAGCAAGTTCCTATTACTATTATAACTGCTATTATAAGAGTTTTAAATCCTTCTAGTGTTGGAACCAATTTCCAAACATGGCCCCAGGATCAAATCTATGCCACACTCGCACATGTGCCAGTTTTGTCATGTCTTTAACTGTATCTTCGACTACTTGCCCCTGATCATCTATGTGCAGGCAAAATTGATAAGGTTAAATTTTCTACAGACTTCTCCTTCAGCTGCTAGCAAGTAGTCAAAAGTCAATCTATTTTGATAGACAGCATTTCTCATCTGAGTTTCTTGCTAGGCCAGAATAGTCCAGGCTCTGCCAGTTTTATTAGTGATTATTTCTAAGACAGCTTGTAACCATATGATTCGATTGAGCATGTAAATGGGGGTCCGGTATCCTTACGAGCTGTCTTGTGCCTAAGTACCTGGCCTAAAATATTGTATGATTCTCTCAGGCGGCCATTTATTATCTTTCTTATTTTTTTTTTATAGCTATGCTTCTCTTCGCGGAAAGCATAGACAGGGAAGCCCAGGAGTTCGCCTGTTTTGGCTAACACTTTACTCATATCATCTATGAGCCCCGACCAGTCCTCAGTCCTTAATCTTATTTTAAAAACCATGGTCATGGGAGGCTCAGATGGGTCATAACACACATAAGGTTGGTCATTTCCTGGGCTACAAACCTTGTATAGAATAACATTATACAAACAAGTTCTTTTTAGAGTTCCAGTACACTTATAATAACTGTAAAATAATAGGATTATAGCAACCTTTTGTCCTACCTCAGTGACTTGATGTATACACTGGGAACAGCCCTCAGTCTGAGAAAGATCAGTTGAAGTCCTTACTGTACAAGTCCAAATTTTAAGGAAAATGAGTCCCTCGATGAGTTTTCTCATGCTTCAGCCATACGTGGACCAGTCAGCCTCCAGGTGTGACTAGAGCAGGGCTTGTCGTCTTCTTTAGAGTCGCTTTGCAAGGATTGGAGAAGCTGCTCCTGTCCATGTACAGCTCACAGTCTACTGATGTTCAAAGATGGTCTCGGAGGTTGGGCCTGCTAGAATAAACTGAGTCTAACACTTCTACACAGTTATGTTCAACTAGGCTCTCTGATACTGGGAGCAAGGTGTTGGGGTTTAGGGTGTTGCAAACTTCAATGGTTATGCGGGGATTTTCACAGAACATGCTTTGGTATCTAGTTAGTCTAGCATTCATTAACTAATGATGTCCTTTGATAGTCATTAAAGTTACAACAGCATGGGGGGCCTTTATATTCAGGTTTTGCCTAAGGGTTAATTTGTCTCCTTCTTGTGTTAACAGAGCCATTGCTGCCAGGGACCTTAGACATGGGGACCAGCTGTTGGAAACTCCGTCTAGTTGTTTTGAGAGATAGGCCACTGGCCTTGGCCAGGGCCCCACAGTCTTGGTTAAAACTCCAACTGCCATTTTTTTTTTTTCTGTCACATAGGGTGTAAAGGGTTTTGTCAAGTCAGGTAGTCCCAGGGCTGGGGTCGACATAAGTTTTTCTTTTAACTCATGAAAAGCTTGTTGCTGTTGGTTGTAATAGATGTAGTTTATCTAATCTACATTTTTATTAACTGTCACCTACTAAAATATTGACTTAAATCCTGTAGCTATTTGATTTCAAGCTTTAAATTGATCTGGTATTCTTTGTGGGACTCCAATTGCATCTAAATAGATGTGAGAGTCGAAAGACCCATAAGGGGCTTCTCTCGCTTATGATGTCTTATTTTTTTTTCCTCTGGTTGATGAAATGCCAGGGTAAAAGGGATAGCCAAATGGAGTAAAGCACAAGTGCCACTCCAGTTATTCAGCAGATTGCCCAGTAAAGGTCCACCACAATACCCCACACATCCGCTTGGGGATGAACAGGGGCTGACTGATTGATAAGCTCTTGAAAATTCTTAAGTTCATCGTATCTCTTCAGGTCCCTGATGAATGCTAAGTTTCCTCCCTGTCAAGAGAGACACGAAATGAACTTAGTGTTGGGAGATGGAAGCTGGATGGCCCTCGGGGGCTGACCCGCAGTGTGCCAGACTTTGGGATATAGCAGAGAGAGCTTGGCATGACCTATTATTCCAGGCTGTAGAATCCTGGAAGAGAGCTACCATGCAGCCTATGCCTGGTCAACTGGAGGACCACCTTAGTGGAAAGGGAACAATCTGGGCCTCTGGCCTGCCATGTGCACAAGCATAACAATTGCTTTTGTTTAAAGTGCAGACGGAATATTTGATCCATTTTAACCAGGCATTTGCATCTTGGTATCCTGTCTTAATTGCTGAAGTTTGTTTTAAGTCTTTAACTTCTATGATCCTCTAGTAAAATGAATGTATGGTTTTAGGAAATTACAAAAACCGGTTGGGGCAGTCCATCCTAGCTCTTTAGTGGTCCACAGAATGTTGGACCAACTATGGCATAAAAGCTCTACATTGGGGACAGTACTTGTGGTTGGCACTGGGGTCTTTATTGAAATCTCCCCAGATTAAATGGTCCTAGTTTACTAATGCCCAGTGTGAGGAGAGTCAGGAGGGACAGAAGTACTTTTCTGAAGTAGAAAGCTGTCTTTGACTTGGAAAGTCTCCTCAGGGTATAACAAGGCAAGCATTAAATGCAATAGTTTGAGGTGAAATTGACTTGGTTATATTAATAAGTAGATGGTCAGCAATAGAACGAGGAAAGAAGAAAGAGTAATAGACTAGATGAAAAGAGTTAAATTTTTATTAGCTTTAGTTTGGTAGGGTTTTCCCCTGGGACTATGGCCCATGACTCTGGAGGTGGGGGCACTTTCTTGACTCGGGTGTGATGAATCCATCCTTTTATTTTTTATTTTTTTTTGGCTGGACGAACAACAGTCTTGGTGGTTAGCAGCACAAGGTAATGTCCTTCCCAGGCTGGCTCGAGTTTTTATTTTTTCCACCCTTTGATGAGAAAGTGATCTTCAGGCTGGTGCTGGTTTACCAGAAATTCTAGGGGTGGTACATGTGCTAAAAGACTTTAGTTTTTGAGAGAAAGGAAAGTGGAAGATAAATCAAGTATATAATTTTTAAGAAATTGACATTTTGTTTTAAATGTGGGGACCTTGGCAGTGGACTTTATAGTCCTAAATGCCTTTTTACTGTGAAATTTCCTTTAGCACCTATTTTTATTAGTTTTTAAACCAAAGAAAGCCAAATACCATTTTACATTTAACAATGCCTTTTGTATGAATTTTATAGCAGATAAGTTAATTTTACCTTTATATTAGTGTGTTATTAACGTTACACCTAATTTTCATAAAACCTTGTAGACATATTTATCCAATTTTTAATATTTGACCATAAGGTAAGATTTTATAGACACTTTTTAACCTTTTATAATTTTTGCTAAAGAGCAGGTTGGTGCTTTAAGAAAAACCTGCTATGCTTTTATTTTAATGTCCAGTTTACAGAAAAATTGGATGACACATCTTTAACTTTAGCCAATGTTTACATACAGAATTTTCTTTCCAATTAACATTTTAAAACTTGATTAAACATTTAAAACAAAACATACATATTTTAAACCTTTTAATGTAGGTACAAACTTACATTCTTATGCCTCCTTATAATCCTTTTACCAAAGGTATATTTTACTTTCCTTATACACCTTGCACATAACTTTTTTTTCCAATAGTATTACATTCAGGAGGCCTAGTTACTTTTAAACTATACAACATTTCTTGCATGAATTCTTTTTTTATAACATTTTTCTCTTTTACGACTTTTGCAGACAATTCTTCGACATGCCTTAACTTTCTGACTTATTACAAATATTTCTTTCTTTAAACAACCAGTTAATTTATTTCAGGACAAGAGTTTACCATATAATACTCTTTTTACATAAATTCCACCCCCCCTTTTTTCCTTAGGATACTTCTGAACTGGTGAGGTGTGCTCACAATGAGGTTTCCTCTAAAAGTTATGTGTTTTTTTTTTTTACTTTTTTCTGTTAGCAAAGCAGTTGCCACTACAGATTGAATGCATTTTAGCCATCTGTGGGTTACTGGGTTAAGGATTTTTGATAGGAAGGCCTCAGTGCTTTTGGGATACACCCTTGTTTACATTGACAACAAAGTGGTATTGGAGTGTTATAGGGTTACGGAGAATACCTTGAATTATCAATTATAGGTTTTAAATTTACCTTGGCTTTTAAAGGAATAGGGTGCACTTTTTTTCTTAACTACTTGTGTATCTCTCTCTTTATCTCTCTCTCTCTCTCTCTGCCTCTGCCAGCTGCTTATGCTGCAGTTCTCTCAACCACTGTGGAGGGATCTAAAACCAGCTGTAACCAGGTATCTATGTAGGGGAACTGGTCTGGGTGCCCTGGCTTTACAGATTACCTTGTGCCATACCTTTGAAACAAGGGACCTATCCAGGCTTCTTTCTGATGGCCAATCTACCTCTAATGCTGGCCAGTCTATTTGACATAAAGTTCTAAGTTTTCCTGGTGTCATAGTCTCCCTTAAATCCCTTTTTGAATTTTTTTAACATAGTTCCTAGTAGGGTGGGCTTATTTGTGCCTGACCCATGCTTCTTCGAGACAAAACACCATGCTCACACCACACGCACACCACAAAACAAAAAACGGGTAAAAAGGGCACACACACACTTTTGCAGTTTACACCAAAACAAAATCAAAACCAAAATCAGAGTATCCAGAAATCCAAGCCAGGTCAAAACCAAAACCAAAACCAAAGTATCTAGCAATCCAAGTCAAGTCAAAAACAAAGACCAAAGTGCCGGTACAGGCACACTGTGGGTGACTAGGCCATGCTTCCATGCAAATGGAGTAGGCAAGTTCCTAAGACCAGTCTTGTCAAGCAATTCAAACCAAGTCAAAACCAAAACCAAAATCAAAGTGCCAATAAAGGCATGCCATGGGTGATCAGGCCACGCTTCCACTCAAATGGAGTTGGCAATTTCCAAAGACTAGTCTTACCAAGTTTCAGATATCCAGACTCCAAGTGCCAGTTCCTTCTTGGTGTTCAGCCACTGTGTTAATCCTCCATGGGGGCCTGCTACATGCTGCTCTGGTGAGGCACTTCACTGGGGCAATTGCCTACCCAGGAGCTCTCTATGAATTGTGTCATTCAGGCTGGCCGGAGTCCCCTGCAGGGATGTTCCACAGGTCAGGCATAAGCCGCCTAGAGGGCTGCCTCAGCTGTCTGTCAGTCACCTCTCTTCCCAGTCAGGGAACCAAGAAATGTAGCAGGACGAGCTGCAGACAAAATCCCTCAGACACCAAGATAGTGAAGGGAGTGGCTTTAATCAGCTGGAAGCATCGGCAGACTAGCGTCTTAAAATCCAGGCTTCTCAGGTGCACAGTTTCTGTCTCACAATGCTAAGGGTTTCACATGAGAGGGTCATGATTGATTGAGCAAGCCAGGGGGTATGTGACAGGGGCTGCAGGCATTGGTGGTCAGAGTGAAACAGAACAGATCGGGAAGTTTCACAATGTCTTTCCATACAATGTCTGGAATCTATAGATAACATCAGTTGCTAGGTCAGGGGTCTTTTAACTACCAGGCTTAGGTCAGGCAGGCCCGGGCCTGGTTTTGAGTCTGGTTCCTTGGTTTCAGGTCTGGTTCCTAGGCACAGGGCTACCTGCCTTTAGTTTCACTTCTCTTTCCTTTTCTGAGTATAAAACCACATAAAACAATATGAAAGGGTCTGTCTCTCTTCTCTCACTACAACCAGTGGTATACCTAAGTAAAGAAATGATATAGTAGCAAATGGCTGGCCTCATTGTTTAAGGGTAGTTGTGGTGGTGGCCATCTTAGTGTCAGAGGCTATCAAAATAATACAAGGAAAGGATCTCACTGTGTGGACTACTCATGATATAAATGGCATATTAACTGTCAAAGGAAGTGTATGGCTATCAGACAACCACTTACTTAGATACCAGGTGCTACTCCTTGAGGGACCAGTGCTTCAAATATGTATGTGCATAGCCCTCAACCCTGCCACTTTTCTGCCAGAGGATGGGGAACCAACCAAGCATGACTGCCAACAAATTGTAGTCCAGACTTATGCTACCCAAGATGATCTCTTAGAAGTCCCCTTAGCTAATGCTGACCTTAACTTATATACCGATGGAAGTTCATTTGTGGAGAATGGGATACAAAGGGCAGATTATGTGATAGTTAGTGATGTAACCATACTTGAAAGTAAGCCTCTTCCCCCAGGGACCAGTGTAAGCCTCTTCCCCCTGGGACCAGCACCGAGTTAGCACTTACCCGAGCCTTAGAACTGGGAAAAGGAAAAAGAACAAATGTGTATACAGATAGCAAGTGTGCTTACCTAATCCTACATGCCCATGCTGCAATATGGAAAGAAAGGGCATTCCTAACATCTGGGGGAACCTCCATTAAATATCACAAGGAAACCATGGAGTTATTGCATGCAGTGCAAAAACCCAAGGAGTTGGCAGTCTTATGCTGCCAAAGCCATCAAAAGGGGAAGGAGAGGGGAGAACAGCAGCACAAGCAGCTGGCAGAGGCAAGGAAAGACCAGCAGAAAGGAAAGAGAAAGAGACAGAAAGAGAGAAAGAAAAAGAAAGAGAGACAAAGTCAAAGACAGAAGGAAAGAGAGAAAGAGACAGAAAGTCAGAGAAAGAGAAAGAGAGGAAGAAACAGAGATAAAGAGAAGGAGAGAGAGGAAGAGACAGAGAGACGGAAAGTCAAAGAGAGGAAGACACAGACAAAGAGGGAGTCAGAAAGACAGAGACACAAAGAAGAAGAGAAATAAAGAGAGATGGAAGTAGTAAAGAAAAAAAGAAAAAAATAGTGTACCCTATTCCTTTAAAAGCCAGGGTAAATTTAAAACCTATAATTGATAATTGAACGTCTTCTCTGTGACCCTATAACATTCCAATATCACCTTGTTGTCAGTGTAAACAAGGGTGTAGCCCGAAAGCACTGAGGCCACTGACAACCCATAGCCTTCCTGTCAAAAATCCTTAACACCGCAGGTTTCCTAACAGGGGATCTAAATCTTAACTAATTACCATACAAAGGTCCAACCAGATCTAGGAGGAACTTCCTTCAGGACAGGATGATAGATGGTTCCTCCTGGGCAATTAAGGGAAAAAGACACAATAGGTATTTAGTAAGTGATAAGGGAACGCTTGTAGAAGCAGAGTTAGGAAAATTGCCTAATAATTGGTCTGCTCAAGCGTGTGAGTTGTTTGTACTCAGCCAAATCTTAGAGTACTTACAGAATCAGGAAGGATCCATCTATACTAATTCTAAGTCAATAAGGACTGAACGAGTTCTTACTAACAGCAAAGAAAAATTAAAATTCCCAAACTTACAAGGTTTTCAAAAAAAGTAAAGTTTGCTAAAAGTTAACAGTGTAACATGTATTATCCTAACTTCTAATCTTATGGAAATCAGACCCTATCAGTACCCCTCAAAGCTCAAGTCTGTCAGTGCAGAGCCATACAACTAATACCCCTACTTATATGGTTAAGAATGGCCATGGCTACAGAAACTGGAATCGCAGGTTTATCTACTTCATTATCCTACTACCACACACTCTCAAAGGATTTCTCAGACAGTTTGCTAGAAATAACGGAATCTATCCTTACTCTACAATCTCAAATAGACTCTTTGACAGCAGTGACTCTCCAAAACCGCTGAGGCCTGGACCTCCTCCCTGCTGAGAAAGGAGGACTTTGCACCTTCTTAGAGGAAGAGTGTTGCTTTTACACTAACCAGTCAGGGATAGTATAAAATGCCACCTGGCATTTACAGGAAAAGGCTTCTGAAATCAGACAATGCCTTTCGAACTCTTATACCAACCTCTGGAGTTGGACAACATCGCTTCTCCCCTTTCTAGATCCCATGACAGCCATCTTGCTATTACTCGCCTTCAGGCCCTGTATTTTTCCCCTCCTTGTCAAATTTGTTTCCTCTAGGATCAAGGCCATCAAGCTACAGATGGTCTTACAAATAGAACCCCAAATGAGCTCAAGTAACAACTCCTACTGAGGACCCCTGGACTGACCTGCTGGCCCTTTCACTGGCCTTAAGAGTTCCCCTCTGGAGGACACTACAACTGCAGGACCCCTTCTTTGCCCCTATCCAGCAGGAAGTAGCTAGAGCAGTCATCGCCCAATTCCCAACAGCAATTGGGGTGTCCTGTTTAGAGAGGACTGTCTGTAAAATGGACCAATCAGCAGGATGTGGGCAGTGCCAAATAAGGGAATAAAAGCTTGCCACCCAAGACAGCAGTGGCAACCAGCTTATGTCTCATTCCACGCTGTGGAAGCTTTGTTCTTTGGTTCTTCACAATAAATCTTACTGCTGCTCACTCTTTGGGTCTGCACTACCTTTATGAGCTGTAACACTCACCATGAGGGTCTGAAGCTTCATTCCTGAAGTTAGCAAGACCATGAACCCACTGGAAAGAAGAAACTCAGGACACATCTGAACATCTGAAGGAACAAACTCTGGATACACCATCATTAAGAACTATAACACTCACCGCGAGGGTCCACGGCTTCATTCCAGAAGTCAGCAAGACCAAGAACCCACTGGAAGGAACCAATTCTGAACAAAAAACAATAATTAATGAAGTCCTCTCTACATCTCAAGCAACATTTTATTACCCAAAAAACATATAATTCCTTTATCTTCTCCTATATTTTATGAAAACAGATATTGAACCCAATTTCATTAATATAATATTACTTTTTTATTTGTTTTACCTGCATTCATATTTTAATTCAATTGTTCATTCAACAAACATTTAAATAAAGACCCAAGAGTTAGTAGGCAATTTTAAAGAAAATTTTAAAGATAAATGAAGGTCTAGGTTACATTGTTCTATTATTGATCTTGTTAACATAAATAATTTATAGGCAGACAATTTCAGATAACATGCAATAACTCCATGGTTTCCTTGTGATATCTTCTCTTTATATCAGTTTAAAAATTTGTGTAGGAAAATTTGTATCTTCAGTCGTCATGTCACAATCTAAAATATTTTAAAGAGGGCTATGTTTTGTTTTTGTGATCTTTCTTAATGTAAGTACAGGAATTAAGGCTTTAAAAGACTATATTAATGTACAAACATCACAGAAAAAGGAAAATGTATCCCACATACTAATCATGTGCTTTTATTGTCATGAAACAAAAATCAACACAAGAAACAATTTTTCCAGGAGTCTAACAAGTATGAAATGGAATACCTTAACATTGGTTTTAATTAGGTAAACATTTTCTTAGCCAGATATATTAGTTTCCAAGGATTGCCATAACAAACTGCCGCAAACCAGGATGCTTAAAGAAAAACATGTTGCCTCACAATTCTGAAGGCTAAAAGTCTGAAAGCAAGACTTCAGCAGGGTCATGCTGCCTCTCAAATCTGTGGGGGAATTCTTCATCACCTCTATAGCTGGTGACGCTCTGTCAGCTATCTTTGGTGTTCTGTGGCTTGCAGCTACGTAACTCTAATCTCTGCTTAGTCATCTTATGGCATTCTTCCAGTGTATCTCTGTTTTCACATGTCTTCTTATAAGAACATCAGTCATATTGCATAAGAAGTTCTCATCTTCATTTAACTAATTACATCTTCACTGATCCTATTGACCAGGTCAAATTCTGATACTGGGGACTTGGCACTTTTCAACATATATTTTTGGAGGGGCCATTATTTGATCTGTAAGAGTCTACCCTCTGGCCCCTCAAATTTTATTTCATTTCCACTTGCAAAATATATTTATCCCATCCTAACACCCTCAAAAGTCTTAACCCACTCCAGCATCATCTCTAAGTCCAAAATCATGTGTTTTAAACCATGTAACTCAGTTATGGTAGAGATTTGGGGCATGATTCACCAGAGACAAATCTCCCCTCCATCTGTAAACCTGCTAATTCAGACAGAAAGTTGTCTATTTCCAGAATAAAATGGAGTAACCGTCTTTTGGCTGTGGGCAGTGACCCCACTTCCTACTCTCTGAGCCAGTGGGTTCTGTCCCCATGGTGGCAGTGGCAGTCCCAACGGCCTCTGAAACACCCTGAGGGTCTTTCTTCCCTTTTTGTTTTAACAATAAGACATGTTTGCAGGGAATTGCTGTCAGCCCACAACCTGCCTTTAGAATCCCAGATGTCCAACAGCCTTAATTCACTTCTTTCCCATCTCCGTCCCCTTCAGATCAAGCTGACAGTCTTTCTGAGATGATTAATTGACTCCATAAATCATACACTTAATATTTTTAGCAAAGAGTTGTACAGCCTCACCCTTGCTGTTCTCTCTAGGGCACACTTTCTCATTTCTTGCAATATGGATAGGCTGAGAATTGTTCAAATCTTCAAGTTCCAGATTGTTGTTGTGTAACAATTCATTCCTTAACTTACCTTTTCTCTTGCATTTTACTATAAGCAACAAGAAGAAACCAGGCAGTGTTTTCCACACTTTGCCTCGGAATTTTTTTCATATGAAATATCTACATTCATTACATACAAGTTTTATTTTCCTATCAATAGTAGAAAATAATCTAGCCATATTCTCTACCACTTCACAACAAAGTCTTCCCTCCAGTTTCTAATGCATCTTCCATCTTCCTCATTTCCATCTGAGACCTTAATAAAAGGATCTTTAACATTCATATTTCGAGCAACATTCTGATCATTAGTATTACTGATATTGTTGCAAAGATAAGAATGCTATGATTAATTTTGAATGCTATGATTTAATTTTTATAATTAAAATTGTTTTTGCCATAGGCAGTGCTGTGGAATTATGGCATCTCAATCAAATGTTTGCCGAGGTTTGGGGTATGCATTTTCTACTACTGAAGACAATCTTGGTGGGGTCTGTTCACAACTCTGGAGCTTTATTTCTGGTGCAGAAGTGAAGACTCTTTTCTTTGACTGAAAGCAATCACTGGTTTTCTTTTCTTTTCTAAACTTCAAAATGTAACATTTTATTCATGCCCCAAGATAACTCAATGGCTTGTATTGGACAAGCATGGAATGCCTTTATTGAACATACTTGCCTCAAGTACAAATTATACCTATATTGAAAAGAAAAGGGCCTGTAGTCGATCATAGTAAAATGCTCCTCACAATTCCACTATCTAATATCTTGCATTTGCAGAAGATAGGAGCCTGTACATTGAAATTCCACATAACAGAGATGAAACCTTTCTACCATTTCATGATACCTATTAGACAATTTAGCAGAGATATTTAAAATACATAACAACTGTTTGAGCAGAGACACTAATTAATCAGAAGAGACACTACCCTAAAACAACCAGTATAACTCTACCAATACAGATCAACTGGATGCTTCCCTTAGGCCACACTAATGTTTATATTTGAGGTTGTTATTTCTGTGAATTTATGTGTCATTTTTCTGTAACATGGATCTCCTGGATATATTAATAAAGAAAAACATATAACATTATTTTCAATTTTGAGAACTTATTAGTGGTTCCTTTTCAAAAGTTCTGGGTGTGTATTCTGAGATGCTTCTAACTGGTTAGCAGTTTTATAATATGTTCATATTATTATGAGACTTAATTTATTTACTAATGACATAGATGCAAAAATTTATTTACCATGACATAGATGCAGAAATTAAAACCATATGAATCTATATTATCTTCGTAACCTTTTCCAAGATAATAATGCTAAGATATTCCTCCAAGTTAGCCATACTCCAATATGTCCAATGAAATTTGCATTATTTTTAATTTGAATATTAAAGGATTTATTCTTATATATTTTCTTTTAGGAGATATATTGCACAGTAGTTTTTTAAGGGAATTCATTGCATTTCTTTGATTGATCCTTATTAAGTCCATTAGGTGTTTCACACAGAAGGTATTATAAACTGTTAGGGATAGGCCATATTTTTTCTTAAATAAATAAAGAAAAAATGATTTTTTTTTACCCTTTGTCCTGTGTTTTCCTTAAATGGGTATTACTCAAGAATAAAAAGATAATAATGCCATTGCCTGTTTTAAAATCAATTTAATGGACATCTAGGGTAGAAAAAGCATCTCAATTCATGCTTTTTCCTGTCCTTATAAAGCCATTTATTTGGCCCATCTGATTTTCTTACCTCTCTAATGCCAACTTACACCTCCTTTAGTGATATAATACTCAAATGATTCCTGAGTGCTTCTATCGTGAAACTATAATACATTTTGCTATTATTATTGTTGTTCAAAGAAGAGACACATGGACATGTCAAGGAGTCTGGATTCTACAACACAAAAGAACCATCTATTCTCTAAAATTGTGTATATAAATTACCGCTGTGCTGAAGTGTTTCAATGGCATTCTAGTGGAATTTGGAGCAGTTACAAACTTCCCACATCATTCCAGAGAATAGTTAGTTCTCAAAGTTTTAGACAAGGTTATTCTATTTAACTCCATTTAATCCACTACTTTAAGTAAAACAGAATGTGAAATTTTTTGTAAATATTTGTAAAGTAAATATTTGTTAAATAATCCTAACAGAGGTGTTTTGTTGTGTGTCTGCTCTTATCATTGCTAGTGCTATTATTGCTCCAAAATCTTTTTATCCAGTTCTACCCTTTTAAATTCTCTGTAGCCAGTTCATAGGAGGAGCTCTATTTCCTCCATTCAAGGTTAGCAAAACATGCCAGCCTCTACCCTTCTCCTTTCATCTCTGAGGGGAGTCATACCAACAGAAGTGGTTTTACAAGAGACCATAAGATGGTTGTCTGTATGAATTAAAAAACACATATCTTGGTATATGTTGTGTTTAAAAGTTCCTTGGCTAATATAAATTGATTTCTCCAAAGCTTTTGTGTTATTATTATTATTAGTCTCACTACACATGCAATTTAGGCTGTCCCTTCCTAAATAAACTTCTAAAGGCATGCAGGAATATTATTTTGTTTGCAAAGACAATTTAATATACTTCAGCATGTTCTATCAAGTTGATAATGAACAGAGTTGATGGTTTCACTTGAGTCAAAAGATCAGTTTTTAAATGATTTAAAATTAGTTGTGGCCCCACCCATGATCCTGCCCTAGGAGTCCCAATGTCGCAGAGTGCTAAGACTGACATCATCTTAGAAAAAAAATTTTCTCAGCATCTCTGACACCTGTCTTTGTGTCTTGTTATCCACTTTAACCATTCTACCATCTGTCTCACCACCTAAGTGACCTATAATTAAGAACTTTGAAGAAAATCCACTCTACATTATGATTGTACCGTCTTTCACGGCCCTCAAACTATAACGTTTCTGTTCTTGCTGTTAGTCTAGATTCCTCTGTATGCATGCATGGAAAGGACTGGCATGTGTGCAGAATAACCTTACTTCCTTAATGACCACTAATTATGCATTTTGTTTTTCAAAAGACACAGTTATATGACAACCACACAGCTGCTTCCCTAAGAAAGAAGAAAACATGTTTTAGAAAATGATTAAACTGGTGAAGATATTTTGGTTTATTATATTTGCCTACTAGGAATATGATACAATTTTAGTTTTTCTTCACTTGATTTTCTAATACCATAAAGGTGCTTTTAATTTTCTTTGAAAGTGCATAATATCACTCTCATTTCAGTGTATTTCTAATGTAATATAAAATGTTTGGGTCATATAAAATATGTGTTTTTAAGGAAAAACAAGAATGGCTAACTTGAAAAATCTGCCGAGAAAGATCAATTATACATTGTGAATAATGTAAAATTTCATGAATTTTTATTTTAATATCTGTATTCTAAATGCCAGATGTTCCATAATGATAAATCCTGTGAGAGGAAGAACTTTTCTCACTTCATTTTTAATGATTTTAAAATTTATTCAACTCAGAGATTTGTTAAAAGCACTGCAGTTATCTTCTTGAATTTGCATATTTCCTGCTTCTTAAGACAACACACTGCCATTTGGAGTAACATCTATGGCAAATTAAACCACATGATTTGGAAGTATAAAGTCAAATATCACTAAATAAAGGGGAGATGGGGAAAAAGTGTTTAGGCTGTTCCAAAATATTTCTGTTAACTCCCACTCATATAAAGTCTGGCATCTTTAGAAACATTCTAACTTTTTAATGGAGGATCATCTGAAGGATGGTAAACGTGTACAGCTACTTAGGTGCTGCTTGAATCCTCTGCGTATCCTTGAACACTGGTATAGAGAGGAAATTGCCTACATTGCAACCCTTCTAATTCAATTTTGGGCAATATTTACTTGTTGATGTTTGGCATTATTGCATTTTTCTCTTGTGTTATTGTTAGAATGAGCTTACCTAGAAGTGAATCTAAATCTCTCTCCCAACTCCCATTCTTATGAGTAAGTTTTAAACCCTTGGGAGTAAGAAATTTCTCAGAACAAAACCTCTTTCCCATCACAGTCCAGCAACAATGTGAATACAAATGCTCTTTCCCATATTAAACATTTCTAACTCTACAACTCCTGAAATGACAGGAGCATTTTAATCCCGTTAACATCCTGGTGGTACTCCCAGACTTTTTTTTATTATACTATATTGACTTATTGTCATATTATGTGAAATAAATGGAGCTTTGCCACTATAAGCTATTACTGCTGACCATCTGAGTGAGTGATAAAGAGAATATGATGATGAATAAAACATTTGGAGTATGGAAAGATGACCTTAGTTAATGCACTTAATTCCTCAGTGCTTATTTTAAAAAATAATGTATTAAAATCATGTTGATAGCCAGCTATGATACTTATCACTGTCGGTGCATATTGTTAAGCTATATAATCTTGGGATATATTTGAGAAGGACTATAAATTATGCATTGAATACAGTATCTCTACTTGTGAGGTTAACTATGACTCCTTATAATATATATTTATGTATGCATGCTGGTATGCTTGCATATATACATATATACACATGCATACTTACACATATGTACATGTGTGCAGCACATGGAATATGAAGTCTGTTGTCTAAGGAAGTTTCTGATAAAAGGTTCAAAAATATTAATTATTATATTTAAACTGACTGATCCTTGAATGACAAAAATACAATAAACTCCAATAGAGAAAAATAGCATGAAAGTACTTTCATCCTTCTTTCTTTATTGTTTATTCTTCTTCACTCACTTTGAATAAATCAATGAGCAGAAACGAAATGAGCATGTGAAGCTTTTAAAGGCCAGCTGCTGCTCCTGGCATGTATTTGAAGCTAATGGCTAATCTTCAAGTACAATGCCGATTTTGCTAAAACCTGAATCCTCTTTCATTCTGACAGCTTAAGTTTCTGAGCCAAAATCAAGGGACAGTTCTTGGATTTCTGAATCTCTTGTTTGAGAGCAGTGTAGGATAAACAGATGCAGTGTAGGATAGAAAGAAAATGTTGATTACCCTCAATCCGGTCTGAATGATGTTTTATCTTTATGTTATTATTTTAAGAGAAAAATTATAGATAATTATCGAAGATGTGCTCTGTATTTGCATATTGTATATGTTTCAATTTCATTATTTTTACATAAGAACTAGAAATATTTGAAATCTATATTATAACATCACTTTAAAACATTTTACTAACATGTACACAATATTTACTTGTTGATATTTGGCATTATTGCATTTTTCTATTTGATGTTTGTGTCATTTTTCAATAATTTCTAAATTGCATAATTCAGAATCTGTGACATACAGCATTTTCATAGGATACTGCAAAAGGTATTTTGCCAGTTACAAAACTAATATATTTGAGTCATAATGGTAATTAGACTTCAGTTTTCAATTTTTTCGGGTTTTAGAAAACATCCATCTAACAATGTTCAAATGAAACAAACTGGACAATTTATTGACAATTTAATGAAATGAACTGTTCAAGCTGACGGCTTTTTGAATTGACTAGCAATCAGTCTGGTGAATTATGTTAGACTGTTTCACAGTCCGTCTGCCATTTTACTTCTCTTGAGGATTCATATCAGTTGCCAAAGCAGATTAAGAAGTATAGGTTATACTGTCACTATCAGTATGTATATATATATAAATGCATATGGTACATTACATATACATGCATGCATATGCATATTTCTGTCCACTTAAGTGTCTGCAGATGTACATGTAAACCTATGTAATTGTTCTACATATTAAAAGAGTTTGACTAGAGTAGAGGGAAAGAACATAATGCACAGGTCACACACAAAATGTGTATATATATAAATAACATATATATAAAATTTTATATGGTGAGCATATGTAAAACCTATGCTCATTTTTCGAATTAGCATCTCAATCTATCTCATTATAAATTGCTACTGAATTTTCATTTCTCAATTTCTCACTTTGAGAAATTTTCATTCCTCAAAGTTCCAATTAGAAACTTCATGAGTAGACAGTAGTACCACATTATGAAACAAATCTGTATTAATGTTTGAATAAAATTTTGTCTTGGCTGGGCATGGTGGCTTGTGCCTGTAATCCCAGCACACTGGGAAGCCGAGGCAGGCAGATCATTTGAGGTCAAGACTTCGAGACCAGCCTGGCCAACATGATGAAACCCCGTCTCTGCTAAAAATACAAAAATTAGCCGGGTGTGGTGGCGAACGCCTGCAATCCCAGCTACTAGGGAGACTGAGGCAGGAGAATTGCTTGAACCCGGGAGGTTGCAGTGAGTGAGATCCTGCAACTGCACTCTGGCCTGGGCAATAGAGCGAGACTCAGTCTCAAAAACAAAACAAAACAAAACAAAAAAATCTCTTATTAAAAATGATGAAAAATAATAAAATTAGAGTAGAGTAGAAGTATTTTTAGTACAATTAATTTAGAAAAATATAAAAGATATAATATTTATAAGAAAGATGCAAAATATCATTTTTATAAGATTTTACTTGATGTCTGTTAAACCTGTGAAAATAATTCAGGTAAACATTTAGAAATTTCATGAGACAGACTTTCTCTTTGCCCCCAACCTTAGTAACTATGCTATTATCCTTAGTAACTCCATCATTCACAGGGATGATTCAACCAAACTGCTGGAGAGTCAGTTTGCTGATTTGCTTGCTTATCTTCACTCAACCTCCTTATCCTCTCCTGAGGTTATACTCCAAACTCACACCTTAAATGTCCATCACTCTCTTCTCTATTTCTAGATCAAGTTACAGTCACAGAAACTCTTTTTACCCCTGAGTCCACAACTTACCCTCTTGTTCTGGCTTCTTCCTTTTCAGTATATATTAATTCTATTGTTCATAATTAAAATGTGTTACTTATGAATATTTCCAATCTCATTTTCCCTCAATTTATCTTACATACAAATTTCACAAATCACCAAACTTGGATCTCTCTGATGAGCCATGTCTGCACAAAAACTTTGAGAAATTTCTGAAATAAATTGTACACTGAATGGAAGGAATACAGTAATTAAGAAAAAAAAATTCTAGCATTCAATACCAACAATTATGCTTTTAAAGAATGTAAATGTAGGAAAATTTCCCATTTGTAATAGCAATAAAAATATAAGTGACAAGCAAGCGATATGCCAAACTTATGCTAGATAATTATAAACGGAACCGAATATGAAAAAAAGAACATTTGAATTAATGGAAACATACATTTTTTTCTTGGATAGAAACTCTCAATGTTGTAAAGATTATAAATAGATACATTTATTTATAAATTTAAGCTGGATTAAAGCATCTATAGGGTGATGGGGGGGGTCTCGCTATGTTGCCCAGGCTGGTCTTGAACTCTTGGCAAGTGAGCCTCCTGCCTCAGCCTTCCAGAGCATTGGGATTATAGGCAGGAACCACCACATCCGGTGAAAAAAAATACATTATTAATAAATAGTGTTGACACACATGGCCAACTGTTAATATAAAAGGATTTGAATATCCACATGAAGCTTTTATCACAATAAAACCTCAAGATATCAAAGATTTAAACTTTAAAAAGTGAAGCCAGATGAACATGTGAAAAGCAAGGCAAGAAGAAAACCAAAAAAATAAGATCATGGGCCAAATAAAACACTACATTTGCCATTATTATGAATTAATTAAGTCATTTCTAAAAGTAAAAGACTCAATATAAAAATTTTTTTAAAAACTCAAAATTCAGTTGTTTGCTATATATTTTTGAAAGACCTAAAACAAAATAATGCGGCCAAGTTAGATCTGAGAAACTTTAATATAGGTCTCTTAGAAAGGCTAATTTCTGAGACGTAGAAACCAAGAAGTCAAAAAAGAAACAACATACAATGGGTTTGAATAAACAACATAATACTTACAGATAAATTTGCACTCAATATCATACTCATGGATAAATTTGTACTCGATAAGCCTATAACCGATTTTCTTTTCAAAGACACATGAACCATACCTAAAATTTGACTATGTGCTAGATTACAAAATAAACATCAACAATTTTCAGAATCTTCCTCTTTTCAAACCATGTTGCCTGAATACAAAGCAATAAAATTAGGTGTCTATAACAAAGAAGTTTGTATCAAACTAATTTTTTTAGTAAAAATATATCCTTATGAGAATGAAAGGAAAATGACTTTAGAGACAGACTTTTGGAAAGAAAAAATAGCAAAACATGTGGGATACAGAAGAGCTGTTTTTCTACCAAAAAGTACAAAACTAAAAATATACAATTAAGTCTTCTTCTTGGGGAGTTATCTGAAAATAACACATTGAAGTAAATTACTTAGTATTAAGGCATGTATTTATAAAATGGATAACAATACTGAAATTTGTAAATAACATGCACAAAACAGTCAATCTTGATAAGAAAATGTGTACGCAGGCCGGGCGCGGTGGCTCATGCCTGTAATCCCAGCATTTTGGGAGGCCAAGGCGGATCATGAGGTCAGGAGATCGAGACCATCCTGGCTAACACGGTGAAATCCCGTATCTACTAAAAAAAAATACAAAAAATTAGCCGGGCGTGGTGGCGTGCTCCTGTAGTCCCAGCTACTCGGGAGGCTGAGGCAGGAGAATGGCGTGAACCCAGGAGGTGGAGCTTGCAGTGAGCCAAGATTGTGCCACTGCACTCCAGCCTGGATGACAGAACGAGACTCCATCTCAAAAAAAAAAAAAAAATGTGTACACATACATTTAAAAACATATAAGAGAATAAACTAGAGGTAATCATACTGCACCTATTCAAATTCAAATAAATATTTAAATGCTGACAAGATACACAAATTGAAAAAAAATTGCCAAATTTTCCCAGAAATACAAAAATATATGAACCACAAAAATGCATAAAATAATTGTATTTGCAGTCATAGCCTATTCCACAGTAAGAAATCTGGCCAAGTCAGTGCCCTCAGGAGCTATTTCTAATAATTCTTCCACCAACAAAATATACAACTTTTTAAAACATTTTAAAGCATAGAAGAATCCAGAAATAATTATAATTACTTTATATAACTATGATAAGCCTAACTTGAAATCTGAATAAGGATTCTTAAAGAATAATAATAGAAACCTCCATTTACACACATTAGTTGGATAATACACATAATCAAATAGAGACTATCCCATGATAGCTAAGTGTATAGTGCAATAGAAAATATACATCAAGTACATCAAGCAATTGGATGACAACATAAATGAGATGATCAACAAATGTTTTAAATGACAGATAGAAATTAAACACACTAACATAACAAAATTAGACTTTAATATTGCATAAGAAGAGAAAAAAGAAATGGCAGTATTTGCATTCAATATCTAATTTCCCTAAAACAACACAAAAGAAAACTATAAAATTACCTGGAAAATTATTAACACCACCAGGAAATTTCAGGAAGTTTTTGGAAAACAATGTACAAAAGTATCTGGTTTTCTTGTCTAATAACAAATTGGAAAATGTAACAGAAAATATCTTAAGCATCCTTGGATCAAAATAGAAGCAAATGTTACACAGAATTAACATTAACACATACAAGATGATTACAGTTCCTTTACAGAAAATATGTTAATAGTATCTTAAAAAACTGTAATATAAACACTGAATATAAGATGTTCAAGCATGAAAATATCCAATGATGCAAAATAGCAAATTCTTCCCCTTTTATCTTCAAATTGAATGCAATATCAAAGACCAATTATGTTTTTATGAAAGTTGACATGTAAATTCTAAAAAGATTATTTAAGAATATTCTAAAAATGATGAACGAACTGAAGAGATAAGAACTCTAGAAAGTAAAATTTTAAACAATGAATAAAAGTAGTCCAAAAAATGTGCTTTTGCAGAAACAAACCAAATACAGATAAAACAGAATATAGAGGCTCAAACCAGCATAATATTCCTTCACTTTCTCATTAATTTATATTCCAATCTAGCATGCAGGACCTGTCTTCTCATTAATAGCACATTTTCATCACTGGAAAAAAATGAACAACTTTATCTATTTTTTTTTTTTACATTTTATCCTTAATCTTCACTGTTATTCCCCTAACATCAGTAGATGTCAAACTCAAAAAATGTTACACGTCCTTGAGCATCTACTTACAACTTTAGTTATGTTGTTTAGCCCGTGCATGTATGTTTAATTTACATGAATATTTTGCCATATACCTTTTTCACTCTGGATTTTTCTCACACATCATTACGTGTGTTAGTTCAGTCCACATTGCTATGTATTCATCTAGTTTGGTGCTCACTGTATTCCATAGAGTCTGATATGCCCCTAGTGATAAAAATTTAGGTGGTTTCAAAATCCTCATTCATACAAAAAAAATTTCTAATTGTACCAATGTCTAAGTCTTTTTATGTCCTTTGTAATAATTTATCTTGAATGTATACATTGTATATATACCTAGGGTGAGGTTTGTCTTATGCACATCACTACTTTTATTAAGTTCTTCCAAATGGCTTTCCAGATTCATTGACAAATTTACACTCCCACCAGAGGTGCAGGATGATTTCTGCTTTCCAAAATCCTCATCAGAATTTAGTGTTATTTAAAGTTTGAATTTTCAGCTCATATGGTAAGTGTACAGTCTCTTTTTAAGAAAATTGCATTTCTCTGATTACTTGTGAGTCAAAGTAGTGTTCATATTATTTATAAATGATGTGATCCCATCCAATTTAAGATCTCCTTCCCCATCAATGATGTACAGCTTAAAAAGTCTGTTAAACCATGTTAAGCAAGAAACACAGACTACCTCTCATTCCAAGAATATGCAAATGTAAAAATAGTTCTTCATCATTTATTATTAATCTTTTGTATCTCCATATATGAATTGCCTAATTATATCTGTGCCTATATGACTATTTGTTCTCCTGTATGTGTGTTACTGGATTGTAAGTCTATATTTGATTACCTAAATTGTATATTCATGTTATTATAGTAAAATATAATAAAAATAATAAAACTAAAATTCATAGCTTAAATATCATAAGAGTTCATTTTATTCCAGGTGATATTTTAATCACTTTCCATGTACTAACTTAATTAATATTCATAAAAATGCTATGCACATAATAACCCTGAAACAAATAACTGATATACAAAATGTTAAGAAATGTGCCAAGGACACAAACCTAGCAAATTGTGAGTCAGTGTTTGAACACCAGCAATCTTCCTTGAGTCTGTGCCCTTATGCGTTACATGGCAGTTTTTCTGAAGCATTCTACAGATACTGTCAGTATTACATACATTGTGTGAATTTCAAGCATTAATGAATATATTGCATAGACTTATCCATTGAATAAAATCATTAGATTCAATACATTCAAACGAATATTTTTCTGCTTATGAATTATGCTTTTTATCTTCCTTTTTAATTTCTATTTTTAATTGACAAATTTTATTATATATATTTATGGGGTAAAATTTCATGTTTTGATATATGCATACATTGTATAATGATCAAATCAGGTTAATTAGCATATCCACTGCCTCATGCATTCATTGTTTCTTTGTGGTGAAAATAATGAAAATCTTTTCTTTTACCTGTTTTGTAGTATATGATACCTTACGGCAAACCACATGCCCCACTGTGCAATAGAATGTCAGAACATACTCTTCCTGTCTAATTGTAACTTTGTACCCATTGGCCAACCTCTCTCAATCCTCTCGTCCTCCAACTCCTCTCTAGTCTACGGTAACCATTCCATTCTCTACTTTTAGGAAATCAACTTTTTTTTTTTTAGATTCCTCATATGAGTGAATCACTTAACAAAGTGTCCCTCAGGTTGGTCCATTGTTTCTCAAATGACATTTTTAAATTTTTGAGGAACTTTCATGATGAAATGGGAGAGTTTCCTGACCCCACTATGGGACTTGCGACAGGGGTGTAGCTCCCTTGCTCCACTGCTAAACACTCAAACCCCTTATGGGAGGAGGAGCATGCGAGTGGGCAGGTGCAGGAACCAGGGTGAGTGTTTTTGGGCTCTGGCCCCATGGTAGCAGCTGGGAGTGTGCTACAATGCTCTTTTAGCCCTGCCATTCAGGAATGGCTAAGTGTTAAACCAGCTCAGTGGAAAGCCAAGATGACAGCATTTTACACTCTGCCCTCTTAGTACCCAGATCCTTGTCCAGCGTCCAGGAAGAATCAGATCACATGGACTTGAAGGATGTTGAATGCGGGGATTTTATTGGGTGATGGGGGTGGCTCTAGCGGGATGGATTGGAAGTTGAAAAGGGGGTGGAGTGGGAAGATAATCTTTCCCTGGAGTTCAGCAGTCCCGTGGCCGATCTCCTCTCTAACTGTCCCTAGCCAAACTCCTTTCAACGTTCAGATGCTCCTTCTCTTCTCTCCTTCTCTGCCATGCCAGTCTGCTGCTCTGCCGCTCTTCTGCTCTTCTGTTCTGGAGCTTGAGGTTTGTACGGGTGCAGGATAGAGGGGCGTGGTGGGCCAAAAGGCAACAGCTGGGCACAAAAACAGGAATGGCTGTTCTCATTTAGGTCCATGGGTCCCTCACTAGGGACCCCACCCTCCTGCCTCCTGTCCATATCAATACTATTTTCCATAGTGTCTGTACTAATTTACATTCCCACCACCATTATGTAATATTTCCCTTTCATCACATCCTCACCAACGTTTGTTTTCGTTTTTTTCTTTTTGATAATAGTAATTCTAACTGAAGTGAAGTGGTATCTCATTTTGGTTTAGATTTGCATTTGCCTGATGATTGGCGATGTTGAGCATTTTTTATACACCTTTTGGCCATTTGCATGTCTTCTTTTTAAAAATGTCTATTAAAATATTTTGCATATTTTTCAATCAGGCTATTTTTTTCTTGCTATTGATTTAAGTTCCTTATATATTCTGGATATTAACCCCTTATCAGATGGATAGTTTGCAAATACTTTCTCCCATTCTGTGGGTTGTCTCTTCAATCTATTAATTGTTCTCTTTGCTGAGCAGAAGTTTTTACTTTGATATAATCCCCTTTGTATGTTTTTGTTTTTGTTGCTTGTGCTTTTGAGTTCCTGTCTAAAAAATTCTGTCCAGTTCAATGCCATGAAGCTTTTGCCCTATGCTTCTTGTAATAGTTTCAGAATTTCAGGTTTTATGTTTAAGTCTCTAATCCACTTTGAGTTTATTTTTGTGTATGGTGAGAGCTAGGGGGTCTAGTCTCATTTTTCTGCATGTATATATTTTCTTCCAATGTGTGCTCTTGGTACTTTTGTCAAAAATCAGTTGACTATAGGTGCATGGGTTTACTTCTGGGCTCTCTATTCTGTCCCATTCTTCTATGTGTCTGTTTTTACGGCAGTACCATGCTGCTTACTAGAGCTTTGTAATATATTTTGAAGTCAGGTGGTGTGAAGACTCTAGCTTTGTTGTTTTGTTTAATATTGTTTTGAGAATTCAGGATCTTTTGTGGTTCCACATAAACTTTAAGATTTGCGTGTGTGTGTGTGTGTGTGTGTGTAGAATGCAAATGGTACTTGGATAGAAATTGCATTAAATCTATAAATCACTTTGAGTAGTATGTCCATTTAACAGTATTAATTATTCCAATTAGTGTTCTGAGATATCATTTCATTTCTTTATGTCAAATACAATGTTTTAATCAACGTTTTATAGTTTTCAGTGTAGAGATCTTTCATTGTCTTGATTGAGTTTATTCATAGGTATCTTATTTTTTGCAGCTATTGTAAATAGAATTGTTTTCTTCGTGTCTTTTTCAGATACTTCACTATTAGTATATAGAAATGCTACTAAATTTGGAATGTAGATTTTGTATCCTAAAGCTTTGCTGAATTTTTAAATTAGTTCTAAAAGTTTTTTGTTGGACTATTTAGAGCTTTTATTACATAAGATCATATCATCCTCGAACAAGAAAGTTTGACTTCCTCCTTTCCAATTTGGATGCCTTTTATTTTTTTCCCTTGCCTAATTGCTCTGCCTAGGACTTCCAGTACTATGCTGAATAAGAATGGTGAAAGTGGGCATCCCTGTCTTGTTCTAGATCTTAGAAAAAAAGCTTTTGGCTTTACCCCATTTAGTATGATGTTAGCTGTGGGCTTGTCTTATGTTACCTTAATTGTTTTGACATCCATAAATTCTATGCCTAATTTGTTGGATTTTATCAACATATCTATGTTGAAACATTGATGCATCCTAGGAAGAATCCCAATTAATCATAGTAAATAATATTTTTAATGTGCTGTTGAATACAGTTTGTTATTGTTTTTTAAAAAGATTTTTGCATCTATATTCACCAGGGATATTGGCTTGTAGTTTTCTAAGTTGTGTTCTCTGATTTTGGTGTCATGGTAATGTTAGTCTCTTAAAGCAAATATAGAAACATTTCCTTCTCTTCAATTTTCTGATACAGTTTGTAACAATTTGTTATTAGTTCTTTAAATGTCTAGAAGAATTTAACAGTGAAGCTGACAGGTCCTAGCTTTTTCTCTTATGAGAAACTTTATATTACCGATTCAATTTGCTCACTCCTTATTGGCCTGTTCAGACTTTCTGTTTTTCATAATTTAGTCTTGGGAGGTTGTATATGTCCAGAAATGTCTCCATTCCTTCTGTTATCAAATATGTTAGTATACAAATGTTCATAATAGTCTGATTATCTTTGTGTTTCAGTGTTATTAGTTGTAATGTCACTTTTTTCATCTTCGATTTTGTCTCTTTTTTTTTTTTTTTTTGCCTAGCTAAAGGTTTATTAATTTTCTTTACCATTTCAAAAACCAATTCTTCATTTTGTTGATCTATTGAATTTTTCCTAGCTTTTATATTATTTATTTCTGCTCTGAGCTTGATTATTCCTATCTTTCTACCAATTTGGGGTTTATTTTGTTGTGTTTCTAGTTTTTGAGGTGCATTGTTAGGTTGTATTATTATTATTATTATTATTTTTTTTTTTTTCTTGAGATGGAGTCTCACTCTGTCACCAGGCTGGAGTGCAGTGGCACAATCTCGGCTCACTGCAAACTCTGCCTCCCAGGTTCAAGTGATTCTCCTGCCTCAACCTCCCGAGTAGCTGGGACTACAGGTGCCCGCCACCACACCTGGCTAATTGTTTGTATTTTTAGTAGAGACAGGGTTTCACCATGTTGGCCAGAAAGGTCTCGATCTCTTGACCTTGTGATCCACCCACCTCAGCCTCCCAAATTGCTGGGATTACAGGCGTGATCCACCGTGCCTGGCCAGGTTTTTTATTAGAACTCTCTTTTTCTGATGCAGACATTTATTGCTGTAAACGTCCTTCTTAGGACTCTGCTTTTGCTGTGTCCCATAATTCCTGTTAGAATGCATTGCCATTTTCATTTTTCTCAATAAGCTGTTTATTTTAAATTTCCCTAATAAATTTTTATTGACCCATTCATTATTTAGGAATGTGTTGTCTGTGAAATTTTTTGTCATTGTTGTTGATTTTCTGTTTTATATCATTATGGTCAGAAAATACATGTGATATAATCTTTAACTTCTTAAATTTGATAAGACTTGTTTTGTGGCCTAATGTGTAATCTATCCTGGAGAATGTTTTATGTGCAGTGGAGAAAAATGTGTACTCTGCAGCTGTTGAATAGAATGTTCTGTAAATATCTGTTAGGTCCATTTGGTTTACAGTGCAGTTTAAGTTGAATGTTTCTTTGCTGATTTTCTGTCTGGATGATCTGTTCATTGTTGAAAGTGAGCCGTTAGCATTCCTTACTATTACTATATCACAATATTTCACTCCTTTTAGATCTAATACTATTTGCTTTATATATTTGTGAGCTCCAGTGTTGGGTATGTATATATTTATAATTATCATATCCTTTTGTTGAGTAGATCACTTTATTACCATATAATGACCTTCTATGTCCATTTTTACAGATTTTCACTTTAATGTTTATTTTATCTGAGTATGGCTACTACCCCTTACTTTTGGCTTCCATTTACATAGAATATCTTTTTCCATCCCTTCATTTTCACTCTACTTTGTCTTTAACCTGAGGTGAGTCTCTTGTAGGCAGCATATAGTTAGTCTTATTTTTATTTTTAATCTATGCAGCCAATCTTTTAATTGGAGAATATAATCTTTTTATATTCAAGATTATTATTGATATGTAAGACTTACCTAGGTCATTTTGTTAATTGTTTTCTGGTTGTTTTATAGATACTTTGTTTCTTTCTTTTTCTCTTAGTGATTTGGTAGCTTTCTGTAGTTACAAGCTTTGTTTCCTATCTCTTTCTTGTTTGTGTATCTGCTTTAATTTCTTTCTTTGGGTTATCATGGAGCTAACATAAAGAGTCTTATATTTATAATGGACTTTTTTAAAGAGGCAGATCCTCACTAATTGCCCAGGCTGGAGTGCAATGGTATGATCATAGCTCTTTGTAACCTCAAATTCCTGGGCTTAAGGGATCTTCCCACCTCATCATCCTAAGCAACTAAGACTACAGATACATGCTACCATGCCTAGCTAATTTTTTTTTTTTTTTTAGATGGAGTCTTGCTCTGTCACACAGGATGGAGTGCAGTGGTGCGATCTCAGCTCACTGCAAGCACCGCCTCCCGAGTTCACACCATCCTACTGCCTCAGCCTCCCGAGTAGCTGGGACTACAGTTGCCCACCATCACGCCCGGCTAATTTTTTTTTTTTTTTTTTTTTTTTTTTTTTTTTTTAGTAGAGACAGGGTTTCACCCTGTTAGCCAGGATGGTCTCGATCTCCTGACCTCATGATCCGCCTGCCTTGGCCTCCCAAAGGGCTGGGATTACAGGCATGAGCCACCGTGCCTTGCCAGCTATTTTTTTTTTTAAATTTTTTGTAGAGATGGGTCTTGCTATGTTACCCAGGCTTGTCTCAACTCCTGGGCTTGAGTAATCTTCTCAGCTTAGCCTTCTAAAGCACTGGGGTTACAGGTGTGAGCCACTATTCCTGGTGATAATAGATTACTTTAAGCTGATAACTCATGACTTTCGTCACAGAAAAATACTCTGAACTGTTTTCCTGTCCCCTTCAATTTATATTTTTGTTGCCTTAATTTACATCTTTATCTATTGTGTTTTCCTTAACCAGAATTCGTAGCTCCTGTTTTAAACTATTTTGAATTTAGAACCCTCATACTAGAGGATTAAGAAATGGATACAACACCATTATGTCCCTAGGGTATTCTGAGTTTGGTTACAAATGTGTCCTTACAGGTGGTTTTTATATTTTCACGTGTTTTTATAACATTAATTATTTCCCTTTCATTTCCAATTTTAGCACCCCTCAAGATTTTTTTTTCAGGCCAGTCTTATGGTGATCAATTCCCTCAGATTTTTGCTTGACTTGGAAAATCTTTATTTTTCTTTTTTTCTAAAGGATAGATCGATTTGGTGGAACAGTATTATTGGCTTTTTTTTTCCTCTTTCAGAACTTTTAACATATAATCCCATTCTCTTCTAGCATCAAGGTTTTTGCTGAGAAATCTGCGAAAAGTCTAATGGGGAACTCTTTGTATGTGACTTGATAATTTTCTTTTGCAACATTTAAAATTATCTCTTTATGTTTGACTTTTGACAGTTTGATCATAATGTGCCTTGGAGAGGATTTCTTTGGGTTTAACCTAATGGAGGACTTTGAGTTTCCTGAATCTGAATGTTAATATTTCTTTCAGGACGTATGGAGGTATTATTTCATTAAATATGCTTTCTGTGCCTTCATTCAACTCTTCTCCCTTAGTCATTTATATAATTTGCATATTTGTTCACTTAATGGTGTCCCATCAGTTCCACATATTTTCTTTATTTTTTGTTTATTCTCATTTCTTTTTTCCTCTGACTGGATAATTTCAAAAGGCCTGTATTTAAGTTGAAAATTTTTTTCTTCTGCTTAATCTAGTGTGTTGTCAAAGTTCTCCCCTTTAGTTTTTATTTCATTTATTGAATTATTTAGCCCCACGATTTTTTAGTTTGGCTCTTTTTTACATCTCTCTCTTTGTTAACTTTTATTCAAATCATGAATTATAACTGATTTTATTGAATCATTTGTTTATATTCTATTGTATCTCTCACTTTCCTTAAGATTATTATTTTCAATTTTTTCAGTTATATTGCAAATTTTCTTTTCATTGTGGTCTATAACTATGGAATTATTGTGTTTCTTTGTTGTTGCTGCTGTTGTTTTTGCTTTTTCATATTTCCCTCTTGTATCCCTATGTGTTGTCATCTGTCCATCTAGTGAAAAGTCTTCTTTTCCAATTTCATGAAGTAACTTTTGTAGAGAAACTGTTTTTTTTTCTGTAGATGGGTCCTGGTGTGTCAGTTGGGTATGGAGCATTGGCTATGGTTCTAGGTAGACTCAGTAGCATAGTTTCTGGTCAGTTTCTTCAGCTATAATCCTTGTCAGTGAAGTCTGTAGTTTTGTCAGACTGGTTATTTGTGCATTGGTTTCCTCTTTGTGAGTTCTGCCTTTTCCCTGGGGTTTGGGGTACCATGTGGGTTTGAGTGTTGGCAGGGGAATTCTTTAGTTATTCTGCTGCTCCTATCACCAAGCAGCTGGATTTGTTATAGTGCAGCCAACTATGTGAGCATAACGGAATGACAGCCACACTTCCAGTGTATAAAGATGCAGTGGCTTCTGGCCCCCAGGTAAGGATGTACTCTAGTGGTGGGTCTGGTTTCAACATGGTGCCATGCTATATAGCAGCTAAGGGGTGGGAGGGTGCACAAAATAGGCTTCTACTCTGAGAAAATGCAGCCTCGTGAATTCCAGGCAACTTTACAAACTAGGTTTGGTGCCTATGAGGACTGCAAGACTCTCTTCTAGCAAGGACTGCAGATGTCTATGGTAGTAATGGGGACATCGGGAGGACTCCAGCTTATCTTTGTCCCAGAAGAAGTCCCTCTTTAATCTAAGCCAACCCCAGAAGAGAAGGTTCTATAGCAGAAATAGGGTATTTTGTTACCCTCTCTATGGTGCTATCGTGAGTTTTAATGCTCCACAGAGATGTTGCCACTACCTTGGTGCTCTCCAGCACACTGCCTCAATCACGGCAGTAGAAATATAATGTTTTTATTGTTTTAATCCCTTTATTTGGTGGGGGAGGGAATGTGTATCAGTCAATTCTAGTCAAACATTTTTCTGACATCGCTCCTGTACTTTTAATCTTTCTAAAGAGCTATTTGCCTGCCTCAAGATTACAGTTACTTATGTTTATAATTTGACATTTTCTGTAAATTGCTTCATAAACTTAATTTATTTTTACACACTTTCTGACAAAATTTTGGCTTTTATCCATTGTGTGTGGTGAGCCATTTTGTCTTAGACTAATTACTAAATATTCTAGCCAATCCCCCATTTACTTCAGGTGTCTCCATTGTCATATCTCTCTCTGTACATTTGTTTCTAAGCTTTCCAGTGTGGTCTATTGGTTCTTTCTTTTCCCGTTGTTTTTGTTGCTGTTGTTTGGTAGAATTATTTTTAAAAACGATTTGCCTCTGTAGTATATTCTTACATCTGCTTAGATGATTTCTATTTTGCTGTTGAGAAGTTAATTAGTGATGGGCTTTTATTCTTTTAAAATTATAAATGTGAAGGGTTCCACAAAATGTATACTTGAATTTTTTTCTTTGAATTTAAACACATTTTTTGTTACTGAACTGGTAGAGGGATTAGCAGTTTTACAATATGAAGATATATAATCTATGAATTATTTATCTCTGCCTTTTGTTTAATTTATATGTTTACATTGCTGATTAGCATAATTTTTTCTTACTAATTATCTTGTGACTTCTTTAAGTATTAACCTTTACATAATTTAAATTTTATTTGCAACAGTATTACTGTTTTCATTTTTTAGTAAGTACTGTTCTATATAAAAATTAATAAATTATGAGTCAATACTATATTTGGGAGTCATATAAACTCTCATCATTTTGTAGTTTCAGACTCTATTGGATTTGAAAAACTATAATCAATATAATCTGCAAATAATAAAAATTTTGATTATCTTCTCATTCTAACAGACATTACTTTTTTTTGTCTTCTTACACTTTTTCTTGTTTTAAAACAGTAGTAGGCTTCAATTTGAACATGGCAGTAATGGGAGACATGCTTTATAAATTCCTTTTCTAATTGTAAACTAAATGTATTTTATTTCACAAATTTTTATGATTGTTTTAAGTGTGGTATAGGCTTTAAAAAGTTAAAATGTTACTTTTTCTATTATTATTAATTATAATTTTTTAAAATCACACATATAAATTAAAATTTATCAATATATTATTCCGAATCCATCGACATTATTTTCACCTTAACATTTCATTAATGTTACAAAATACTTAAGAGATTACAAATGATACAGTGGCAATGGAACAGTCCAAGATTCAAAACACCATTTAAATAAATAGAAATATTTATCCCTATCTATTAGCTTCCTCTGATTAGTCCCTAAACACACACACTATATCCTGGAATGTTATGCTTTTTTACACGCTTTCTACTTTTATAGAATCTTCACACAGATTTTATGTCAGTTTTTCACATTCAAATTTACATATTCCTCGCAATTCTATAGCATCGCCGTTTTTAGGACAAATCCACCATCTCACATTAGTCATCCTTTTCCCCCCATATGGAAATTTATTATATTATAAATTTTAAATTTAAAATCCATGGGATATTAGCTATTTGATAATTACTGTTGATATAATTGACCCAATATATGGAAATTAAAATTAGATTTTTATTTTACATTAACAAAATTTAATAGAAATTCAAAAGCTAATCATAAATAGCAAAACTCAATAAGTATTGGAAAATACTAGTACTGTGTGTTGTTATAAATGAGAAAAAGCTTTTATAAATAATGTCCAAAGATTAATTATATTAATATTAAATATAACAAAACACAGGATTTAACATACAATGATTTTAAAATAGATATTGGAATAAATCATTTGCAATATATTTAAAAATGAAAAAGTTTTTTTAATACTCAATGATTTACTTTAACTCAATGTTAAAGTTATATTAAATACCTAGGCCAAAAAGAAAAATATATCATTAATTATATATTAGTAAATATAGTAACAGAATTAGACCACCCAAGAATGACAGATTATGGAGCTATTAGATGGACTTTTGAATAAAGACTTTCAATTAATTTAAAAATAAAGAAATGAAGTAAACATATAGTAGATCCAAACATTTAAGAATCCAAGATAGATGAGATCATTTTAAAATTCTTTAGATGGGATCTCTAAGAGTGTACTCAGTGTGAAACTTAGAAACTTATTGAATTTAATCAGTAGACTCAATGCAGCCCACAAAGAGACCTGAAGCTTTGCCACATTTTACAATACAGACAGAAGGAAAAACATAAAAGGTAGTATAATGAACCAAAAGATGCTCTAGCGTTTGTTTATTTGTTTATTTATTTATTTTATTATTTTTTTTTTTTGAGACAGAGTTTCACTATTGTTGTCCAGGCTGGAGAGCAATGGGGCTATCTTGGCTCAGTGCAACCTCCGCCTCTCGGGTTCAAGCTATTCTCCTGCCTCAGCCTCCCGAGTAGTTGGGATTACAGGCATGTGCCACCACTCCCAGCTAATTTTGTATTTTTAGTAGAGACAGCGTTTCTCCATGTTGGTCAGGCTGGTCTGGATCTCCCACCCTTAGTTGATCTGCCTGCCTCGGCCTCTCAAAGTGCTGGGATTACAGGTGTGAGCCACAGTGCCTGGCCTGCTCTGGTATGGTTAATTGAAATATCTTGTTAACTGCGATTCAAAGCACAGTTCATTACTTTAGTAAAGAGAATCCACCAAACCCCAACCTTAAAACAGAGTTATTGATGAACACTTGTAAAAATTTCCCTTTTCTTTTTTTTTTTTTGTTTTGAGGCGGAGTCTCACTCTGTCACCCAGGCTGGAGTGCAGTGGCACGATCTCGGCTCACTGCAACCTCTGCCTCCCAGGTTCAAGCGATTCTTCTGCGTCAGCCTCCCGAGTAGCTGGGACTACAGGCGCTGCGCCACCACGTCCAGCTAATTTTTGTAGTGCGCCGCCACTGCACTCCAGCCTGGGCAACAGAGTAAGACTCCGTCTCAAAAACAAAAAACAAAAAACAAAAACAAAAAAAACAGAAAGCAGCAAGTTTGATGAGAGTCAGCAGGTCAGGAGGTCAGGTCAGGTCATGAATGGCTTATTATATCAGCTCAAAGAAATAGACTTTATTATTCTGTCCGTACTAAATTAATGAAAACTAGAAAACGAATTTAACATAATCAAAGCTGTATTTCAGGAGAAAGAGTATTCTATCAGATGGACTGAAGCAGGAAGAACCTAAAGACAGGGAGACCATTTAAGCATATCTTCTCTATGTCCTTTTAACTTTAAATTTAACAGATATTAAAACTTTCCGGGAAAATTACTTTCATAATCCATAACCATTCACGCGGTGCAGTTCTTAGAATATGCTTCATGACAGTGTTTTTCTTCAGCATATTTATTATTTTTGTAGCCTAGAAACTTCTTCATATATCTTCTTAAAATGGCAATCACCACCACCACAGAAATTCTGTGCATATCTTATTAATATTGCAATAACCATTAAGACTATGCAACATATATCTGAGTAATATGGCAATAACCATTAGCTTACTTTAATGCTAATAAAATATATAAACATGTCACTGTAATATATATTGCTAAGTTCATGTGCATTCATTGGTTGATGACTTTAATAGTATAATGGAAAGGGAGATAAGTCATAGAGTGAAAAGTCATGGCCTTTGGAGTCAGACAAGCCTGCACTTTATTCCTGACTCTACTGTTTTCTAATTGAGAGCCTGAGTAAGTAATTTATCTTCGCTTGGATTTAGTTTTCATCTTCTTACAAATATGGATGGTGTTCCCAACCACACAGTATTGGGGGGATTAAATAAGATGACTTATATGAAATTCTGAACCCAGTTATAGGCATATTATGGACCTCAAGTATTATGAATTTCCTTCAAGTTCCCCTTAACACTACATAATACAGTGACAGGGAAAAGAAAGTATAATAGAAATGGCTCTGCTCATGTGTATGGGTTGGGGTAGGAGAGTTCTACAGGTTGAATAATGACAAATATTAAAATGAGAACTGAAAAGATTAATTATTCATGCCCAATATATTCAAATAATTGAAAGCATACCAATGATTGACTAATGGTTTTAGTAGTTATTGTAAGTCTTCACTAATATGACAGGTTAAATGAAAACCTTAAAAATAAAATCTGTGAAAATATTGAGAGAAGTTAGAATTATTCATGCCTATATTACTCATATGGTAATGTGTAATCAATAAAGTATATATTCAGCCATGTATAACACTACTTTTTATAATAAATACAGTATTTATATTTAGAATTGCCTTTGTTTAAATTCTATAGGAATTATAAGGGCATATATACTGTAATACTTTTACAAGAGGATGTTTTGAGTTTCTAAGATGTTTTGAGTTTTTAGGTCAACTTAGGATTCTTCATGTGCTGCAGATAAGAAATTGGTTGGAGTCAGTATGTGTGTATGCGTGTGTGTGCACAAGTATACATGTGTGTGTTTCCATTCAAAAGATAAGAAGAATCCAGTTGGAAGACAAAAATACCACTGCAATTAACAAGATAATTAACAAGATAGTAACATGGAGTAAAGGCAATGGAAATAATAGTAATAGCCAAAACTGCTGATTTGTGCTCTAACGAAGGGCTACAAGATAAGGGAATCAATGGGAACTGAAGTCCAGTACCCTGTGTTCCTCAAGTCAATCCCCAAGTAACTATGGCAGTTGAAGCAAGTGTAAACTCAGACACGGCATTTAGGTGTCAGCAAGCTCTCTGATACTCTCATTAACTACATGCCAGACATTATTGTAAGTGAGCTACATTGTTTCATGAGGTAGATCCATGTGATAATGTGTTATGTTAATTTGAGTCGACTGACAAGAGGACGACAAGAAGGGATATGACATGCAAAAGACTCATTGGTGGAGGGGTGCAGAAAAAAGTGTAGGATTGCCCGGGAGGTGACCAAGACAGCTTAAAGTTCCCCTCAGCTTGATTAAAATTTAGACAGGCTTCTTTCTGCTTCTAGGCCTCTGGCCTCCAGCCCTGACAGAATCCAGATGGCCTAACCACAGAGGTCTCTCCTTTCCCTTTTCTAGGAGCATTTACTTTAGAAAATGCATCATTGTAATTTCTTTCTCTGCCCCTTTGAGACATATAACATTTTAATAGCTTTTTGCTAGCTTTACAACCCAGGATTGTCTTTCTCAAGATTTTTGGGGTCTTGCTTTTGAAATGTAATCATGAAAAAAGATGGCAGCCCTATGTCCTAATGTCCGTGAAGCTTACTTAATTTTCATTGCTGCCTTGCTCCAAGTTGTAAAATAAAATAGGATGAATTTTACTTTTCCTTTGGTAAGGAGGTAACCGGCAAACATAGATGTCCTGTGATTCCTCCGCCAACATTGTCCATAGGAGGAGTCCTGCTTCTGTTGATAATGGGCCTGTCTTGGTACCCTTGCCATTGTCAGTCACAGGGAAGGCACAGGAAGTGTGGTCACAACCCAAACATTGTTGTACAAACAGAGGTGTCGCAGTCATTAAAGATCCCACACTAGGAGAGTTGAGCAGTGTCTTTCATATCCTCCATCGGGTTTACTCATCTGTGCAGGTTTAGGAAGCAGCTCCTCCGTGATTCCTGTGGACTTTTCTTCTGGAAGAGAAACCTAGAGGTGGAGGAGGAAATACCCACCCCCTCCAACCCCTTTCTGCACTTGGCTTCAAGACTGTAACTAGTACTCACCCTTACCTTCATCCACTATTCATTCAAATCTCTCTCACCTGCAGCTATCACTTCTCCGGTCTTGATGAATTACCTGGTGGTATAACCTATAACCTGAGGCTTTACTCCTGAGGGTCTGAATCCTTAGCAATCCTACTCTTTTCAGACCAGTGTTGCCGTGCATGCTCACTCACCATTACAATGGGACACAGAAGGAGCAGGAGGCATCCAACTGGATCATCTGGGCTGCACACGCTGCCTCTTGCCTTCATTGTATAAATGTAGCCTTACTTTCTCTGCAGATCAGAGTTAGCTACTTCTGCTGTGATAGTGAGTCCTATTTTCACCTGCTGGTCCAAGGATATGAAGTGTTTAAAGTGCACTGGTGTGGCCATTGTTTATGGTATAATGGGACCCTTGTTCTGTTCTTTAATAATATTATATTCTTTGGGGACAAGGGTCTCCAACCTTCTAGAGATCACAGTTGCACATACAGAAAACACAAATTACCTTATTGGATCATTTAGAGTTATGGTTAACGGGGTCACTCTTGTTTTCACCTCTTGTTTCTAAGACCCATTCATTCTTCTTATTGGTGGCACAGTAGCACACTAAAGCATCTAATTTAATGATTCCACTACATTATAAAAGATGGCACCACATTTTTTAATAGTGTAGAGTTTCAGCTGTGCCTTTAAAGGTGGCTCTGGTGTCCTATGAGGCAGGCTGCTTCTGGATGGTATTGTAAATGCATTGACCAGTGGAGGCCACTTCTTAGCTCCTTTGCTGGGAAGTCGTTCCTCAGGTCAGCTACTATACTGAGTGGGAACATATGAGTGTGGAATAGGCATTTCCTAAGCCCCAAGGCAGTGGTGCTATGTATGCTCTGCAGAAAGGATGTGCAAAATCCATGCCTGTCAGAACAAGTCCATAAATTGAACAGGTCAGAAAGAACTGAATGTAGTCAACTTGTCAGCCAGTGGCTTATTGGACTTGTAAGGAATAGTACCATGCCAAGGGTTCAGTACTGGTCTCTCTTGTTTTCAAGCCATCATTCTCATTGTTAGAGATTTTGTTCATCTCAAACTACTTATATGAACATATACTTTCAAGTAAACATTTTAGTAAATTGATATTTTAGCATGTTAATTAAGCAATGCTAAAAAATCAGTGAAACATTTATTTGAGGGTATGTAGCATACAGCACTGTGAGAGGAATAAAGATTATAACATTAAAAGTGTTGCCTCTTGAAAGAAACTATTTTTAAAGTATTATCCTTTTTTATGGCTCAATAATTTTTTTCTAAACCAAATTAGCTATCAGATTTTTTTGCACAAATAAGTCTTTATTGTCATTTATCTAATGAAGAACTGGAATCATGATAAATCTTTGTGTTGTGTCACTCTTAAATGTTGTGTTTGTTTTTATTGTAAAGGCAACAGTTCCAACTTTAAAAAGATGAAACAGCTATAAGGGCAGATAGCGGGTAACTTCCTCCCTATCATAAGGGTCACTGCCAACACCTCTATAACAAAAGACACATTCACAAGAGAGAAACATAGCAGATCTATTTGATCGGTTTTTTATGACATGAAAGCCTTCAGATTGAAGACTCAAAGATACAGAAGAAGCTATCTGATTTTATGCTTAGATTCCATGATGCTGTGACAACTGTGTAGCAATGAGATTGGATAAAAGAGTGTGATCTGGTAGTAATAGACCATGGTGGAAATTCAACAAGGCTTGTTAGTTTAACTTCTTATTGGCCTCTCTGTGCTTCATTCCTTCTTTCTAGGCATGGGGCAGGTCTTGTTCTGCAATGGGGGTCTTATGACCTACCATCAAAGGAGGTAGGTCAGAGAATTTTTTTTATGGCCAGTTTTTACAAAGAAAGATGGGAAAAGTTTAGAGTAACGTTTTTAGGTTTCATGGATGGTTTTGGAGAAAAGGGATTCAGGTTTCCATGATCCACCTTGAGGAAGAGGGATTCTAGTTTCTATGGCTTGCCTCCATGGAGAATGAGGGTGAGAGATAGAAGTGCAGGAAAATGTCAAAGAGGAACTTCACTTCTAAAACTGCTTCTGGGGATTCCACCTTGGAGTATTGTTTTGTGAGCCCCAACACAGGTGTATTTAGAAATCTTAATATTTTAGATTTCAATTGAATATGTATACCCCCACGTGCTTCATACTGGAATACATATAGAAACATGTTTTGTCAAATTAGACTAAACTGAATGTGACTATGGTTTATTTCTTTGTAAATTGATTGAATTATAAAATACATACAAAAAAGGGCAGGGGCCATATTTGTCCAGCATTCACAAAACAAACCCCCCACTCAGACCAGTCTCCCAGGGGTGTCCCTTATACTTTTTCATGGTCCCTCTCTTCTTCAACAAGATTTACCACTATTCTAACTTAAAAAAACATAGTTCAGTTTTGCATGGCTTTTAAGCTTTATATGAATAAAATAATGCACGATATGTGCCTTGCTGTTGGCGTATTGTTCAGCATCATGTCTCTGAGAGTCATTCAAGTTATTGTATTTAGTCATACCTTATTTATTCTCGTCTCTGCAAGGCTTTCAATGATATAAATATACTACAGTCTATTTATGTATTCTATAATTGATGAATATTTGTTAATTTCCAGTTTGGAACTATTAAGAATAGGCTGCTAAGAATATATAGGTGCAAGTCTCTTGCTGAACATATGTTTATATCGGGGTAAGAGGTTTCAAGCCTAGAATTGAAAATGTTGTATTGATAGGCTCATCTCTAGTAGATACTGCCTACAGCAGTGTATGAGAATTATAAAGTTTATTAATCTTTTCAAAGAATGAATTCTTAGTTTTAATGTTTCTGTACTACATATCTGCTTTTTATTTATTTGATTTATATTCTTGTCTTTAATTATTTATTTCTACTTTCTTTGGATAAGATTTACTTATTTTTCCACTTTTATGGGGAAAAATATTAGCTTACTGATTTTGAACCTTTCTCCTTTTAAAATATATGCATCTATAGCTATAATTTTCTAGTTAAGTGCCATATTAGTCCGTTTTCATGCTGCTGAAGAAGACATTCCCGAGACTGGGAAATTTATAAAAGAAAGAGGTTTAATGGACTCATGATTCCACATGGCTTGGGAGCCCTCACAATCATGGCAGAAGGTGAAAGGCATGTCTTACATGGCAGCAGACAAGAGAAGAGAGCTTGTGCAGGGAAACATATAAGGGAAACCCCTGGGGCAGACCCCTCTATAAAACCATCAGATCTCGTGAGACTTATTCACTATCATGAGAATAGCACAGGAAAGACCCACCCCCATGATGCAATAACCTCCCACCGCATCCCTCCCACAACATGTGGGAATTGTGGGAGCTACAATTCAGTATGATATTTGTATGGGGACACAGCCAAACCATGTCAAGTGGCCCTTAAGCACACCCCAAATTTTGATATGACATATATTTGTGATCATGAAGTTCAAATTATTTTCTAATCTCTTTTTTTTTTTTGAAATGGAGTCTTGCTCTGTTGCCTAGGCTGGAGTGCAGTGGCATGATTTCGGCTTACTGCAACCTCCACCTCCTGGGTTCAAGCAATTCTCCTGCCTCAGCCTCCTGAGTAGCTGGGACTACAGGCGCATGCCACCACACCTGGTTAATTTTTGTATTTTTAGTAGAAATGGTATTTCACCATGTTGGCCAGGATGGTCTGGATCTCCTGACCTCATGATCCACCTGCCTCAGCCTCCCAAAGTGCTGGGATTACAGGTGTGAGCCACTGCATCTGGCCTATTTTCTAATTTCTTTTATGAGTTCTTCTTTAATTCAACAGTCATTTAGAACTGTGTCACCCACTGTATTTTACAGAAAGATCTATTAATTGTTAAATCCACAGTGATTAGAGAACATCTTCAAAGTGACTTTACAACTTTAAGGTATGTTAAATCTCAACTAATAATGTATAGTAACCTATCATATGATCAATTTTGCTAAATATTTTATTTTCACATAAAAATGCACATTATGTCAATGTTGGGCACAGTGTTTTACATCTGAACTGATGCTCAAAGTTATTGTGTTGTGCAAATATTCTACATCATTACTGATATTTTTGTTTGCTTGATGTAATAGTTAATGGGAACTAATGCCTTCTGCTATTATAGAATAGGTTATTTTCCATTGAGTCATGTCAATTAATGATTTCTATATTTTGATAAGTTGTTACTATGTATTTATAGATTTAATATCAGTATATCTGTCGAATGGACCTATTTATCATTGTGGGGGGGAATGAAGGTCTATTTTGTTATGACAGAAAGAAAACAATAATTTTAAATGTGATTTCTTCATATAAGATGGCAATACCATTTTTATAATATCTAAAATATTTGTTATTAGAAATATAGCATGAGACCCAGTATGTCATTGCTGCAAATTATGCAATTAAAGGTAGAGCAAGAAAACCCATTAATTATACTATATTAAGGTTTTTTACTAAAAACAGATAAAAGAACCAAGTATAGTTTGAATATATCATCAATAAACAGCTAATCAAAGCACTGATTTAATAAATGGCATAAGTCTTAAGTCTAAATCATATTAAACTAATAATTTTTATAACTAGGTTTATACAAAATTTCCATCAAAATTCTATGGAGCAATAACATAACCTGTTCTATATCATTAAAGCACCATTAAGTCTCATAACAATTAAAATATTACTTAAGAAATCAATATTGGCATATTTAACTAAGACATTAGTGTCAGGATATAGTTTGAAAGTTTGGTAGTAGATCATGTTTGCAAATATTTCAACATGTGACAAAACAGTAAATGCCACCTTACTTGGAACTAATTAACAGGAAGATTTAGTGATATATGTTTACACTTAATTTAGTTATATAAAAATCATTTTAAGTTAGGAAATTTGTAAGAGTAAACTCTCCAGCTTGATACTAATTAGTATTTGTTTTGCTGTAATGAATATTAAGCTAACCCATCTCTAATTAATATCACAAATAATGGAGACATTCTATCAGCACAATACTTTGTATAGTTTTTAGACTATTGAGCAATATTTTCATAGCGGAGTACAGGAATGTGTTGAGAAAAATAAAAACAAATTTTTTGTTTTTGTTTTTTTTGAGACAGCGTTTCTCTCTTGTTGCCCAGGCTCGAATGCAATGGCATGACCTCAGCTTACCACAACCTCCGCCTCACAGGTTCAAGCGATTCTCTTGCCTCAGCCTCCCGAGTAGCTGTGCTTACAGGCATGCACCACCATGCCGGCTAATTTTTGTGTTTTATAGTAGAGATGGGGTTTCTCCACGTTGATCAGGCTGGTCTCGAACTCCCAACCTCAGGTGATCTGCCTGCCTTGGCCTCCCAAAGTGCTGGGATATAGGCTTGAGCCACCACACCCGGCCAAACAAAAACGATTTTTTTTTATATAATCTATTTTCCTTATTTATAATTTGAATAAGAATTTGTAATTCTATCACAGACCAGTAAACAATTCTGTGAAAATATTTGTATGTAGGGAACATTTTCAAAAGTTTAAGTTTGATATGGTTTTCTTAGGCAGAAATACTGCCAGATTGCTGTGACAATACAAAATATATTTAGATTTTGCATATTGAAATCTATTCATTATTCTAAGAGAATATTTTGTTATTATTTCTTTTTTTATGCTCCTTATATTTTCACAGATAAATATCAAATGTACGAATGATATTGGATCAGCAATGACTGAAGAACAGAAAAGGTGATTGGTGGACAAGGAAAAACATTTTAACACATAAGGAAAAAAAATCTCGCTCAAACATCTTTTCTTCAGAAGAGCGTATTAGCTTCCATTTGTATAACAAGTGCTCAATATTTCATTACTCTTTTTTCCCCAAGTCTTCAATTGTTGACACTTGACTGTAATTTTTTCCATCCAATCTTGTGAGGGAATGGCAGCAGGGTTAGGTTAACACAGTGATTCAAGACAAATGCCAAGTGCATGTCTTATGAGACTTATATTCTCCATAGAGAGAATCACAGGAGCATGGAACATGGTGATATATATGAGTGTGGTGCCGAAGTTCTACAGATGAATGTAGATATATTGAGTTAGGCACTTAAAACAATTGCTTTCAGTCATCTCAATGATAAGCAGTCAGAGATGAGATGTGTGCATTTGCGATGAAAGAGCTCGGTATAAATTTAAATCAAATCCAAAGGCTGACATTTACCTCATTTTGGTTGGGGAGGAGAGGAATATATTTAAGATTGAGAAGCAAATTTAAATACTTAAGACAAGTTTTAAAAAACTGAAAAATTATGTCACAGAATCCTCACTTAGATTCACTGTAGAAAAATGAGTTGGTGACGGCCTCGTGTGTTTGTGGTTAGGTAAATAGAAGACTTCTTTGATCGTGACTGAAGTAAGATGAGTGTGTGAAGATAAATTAGGAGGCAATCATTTGATTATTTAATTAGGAGAGATAATAAGGAGAATAATGATCATAAAGAAATATACTTGTAGTATAACAAGGTTTATTTAGTATGAATCACATTAGAGATAGAGTAGAAACACTGAGTGGACAGAACACTGTGATATATAAAAAGTCAGAGTCCTACTCAGTCAGTCTACTGACTATAAGATACAACAAAACATGAGCTCAGCTGAAGTGGGCGGATGGCCTGAGGTCACGAGTTCGAGACCAGCTTGGCCAACATGGTGAAACCTTGTCTCTACTAAAAATACAAAAATTATCCGGGCGTGGTCGTGGGCACCTATAATCCCAGCTACTAGAGAAGCTGAGGCAGGAGAATTGCTTGAACCCAGGAGGTGGAGATTGCAGTGAGCTGGCATGGTGCCACTGCACTCCAGCCTGGGCAACAGAGTGAGACTCCGTCTCAAAAAAATAAAATAAATAAGTAAATAAAAATAAGCTCATCATAAACTGCTGTAAATGTAGAATTTCAAGGGGATTTATTTTCTTTAAATTATGCATGGGATTCAGTGTAAAACATCTCCAATATCTTTTAATAAGTAAGTCAGAACAAAGCAGGGCAATGAGACAAAAAATAAATAAATAAATAATGAGAAGTATTATACAACACATTGTTGGCCACTGAAAAATCTTGAGAAATTTGATGCATGAGGAATATCCTCTAACCCCAAACATGCCAGTAAGGATTATCACTTAATACCATAGTCTAAAAAGTAAATACGGAGTGGAGATTTTTATTGTGTGCAGTGCCTAAAGAATTACAGCTAACTTCATCAAATAGTTACCCTCTTCTACAGGGCAGAATGCTTTCACAATTGGGTATTTACCTACAATGAATGTGGCTGGAGACAGAGGAGGTGATAATGACGAATACTCAGCAGTATTTTAACCAACACCGAGAATGCTTCCCCAGTTGTTTGCTCAAAATGAGCAAGGAAATAAAGGTAGAATTTCAAGTTTAATGTTACCTGAAACAGCAGGGCCTGCCGCAGTCCCTGAAAATGACCAGAGCTTAATCTCATGTTAGGTTTCTTATAGTAAAGAACACTCAGGCCGGGCGCAGTGCCTCACGCCTGTAATCCCAGCACTCTGGGAGGCCGAGGCGGATGGATCACTTGAGGTCAGAAGTTCAAGACCAACCTGGCCAACACGGTGAAACTCTGTCTCTACTAAATATACAAAAATTAGCTGGGTGTGGTGGCAGGCGCCTGTGATCCCAGCTACTTAGGAGGCTGAGGCAGGAGAATCCCTTGAACTCGGGAGACAGAGGTTGTAGTGAGCTGAGATCGCGACCTTATGCTCCAGCCTGGACAACAAGAGCGAAATTTCATCTCAAAAAAAAAAAAAAAAAAAAAAACAACAACAACAACAACAAAACACTTATCAATCAGCTTATTACAAATGTAGAGGTCCATTTATCTCTGGCCTTTGACAACAGCTGTCCCATCAAAAGTGGAAATTTAACTCTATTACCTTATTTATCCAAAATAACTACTTTTTAAAAATAAGGGCCTTTCTTACCCAAAGAGGAAAGCTTTGAAATATTTAAAATAAACTTATTTTTCTAGTCACATTCAAAAGGCTATTACTTCTGCATTTTATCAGTGGATTTTCAGCCATAAATATACAATATACGTGCTCTTCTTTTGCCATTCCACCAAATAAATAATCATAACAAGAATTTAGCATTACAAATTTACAGAACTGTGAAATTAGTCTACCACAGTTTCTCAGATTGTGGCAGAGGACATGAGACTCCTGGGTCACAGATAAAGGATTTTATTAGTCACAGAACAGTAGGCAGCATGATTTTATATTTACATGAGCTTCTACCTGTTCCCACAAGACCCGCAGGAGCAATGGGGAAGGGAGTCCAGGTGGACTGCACATAGGGAGACTGTGCAACAGCTGAGGAGTTCCAAGCTTAGGAAAACCACATTTTGTGATGAGGCTCCTAGCAAACTGACCAAACTCTGCCCCAGAGGGAGAAATCATCTTTATTATACTCATCAGAAAACATGTCTGCCTTGTGCCCCAAAGAGAGCCACTATTTCTCTCATCTATTGCTTTTTGCTATACAAAAGCTAGCACAAGACATATAAAAATATGATGGAGAGTTGCCTTCCAAAAACAAACATACACCAACACAGTTGCAACTAAGACAGAGAAATCAGAAATAGAAGAGACATCTCGGATAAAAAATATGACATCAAATAGGCCCAGGAAAGCTAATCCCTCTTTAGCATTGCATATGCCAATTCACACTTGCAGTCCTACATATCTTCTTCATAGCAAGCTTCTTCCTATCATGTGCATTTTTCTTGAAAGTGCTCTTGTTTCTTCTCCATTGGCAGAATATCTGAGTTTTTTTTTTCTGCCCTGTTGACCTTTTATCGAACTCACTAATCATATTTATCCATAAACACCATTTATCACCATAGAAATATTTTGTGATTACTATGTGCAAGTTAATGGTGTAGATGCTGGAAACCAAGAAAATACTGCGCTCAAGTGTTTTTTGAAGAGCTTTTATTTTTCTTAAAGAAATAGAAAATAGCCACAGGTAGATAAACATTAAATAATATACACTGAATAACATGTATGCCAGATACTATAATGCAACAGAAAATAAGATCTCACAGGCTTTACTGGTTTTCAAAAAGATTTTACCTTTTACAATGATCCAAAACTAGCTTTTTTTTTTTCAATTGGAGACATTACCCATTTCTATTGGTTTGATCTTGATATTGGTTTGTAGCCTCAACCAAAATATACAGTCTGTTTAATCTTCATCAGCTTTATTGTAACTTTTCCCCATGGTGCCCGAGAATAGATTTCCTACAATTTACAGCCACTCTGCTCTTCGTATATTGGAATTGGCACTGTGCACAATATCTCAAACAGTAATTCTCATCACCTAAGAGTACAGACCTGAAGTAAAACAAATCCACTGTCCCAATCAAGCAGCACCCCTCAAGCAGCTCAAGACTAATTGAAAGTTTCTCTTGCTTAATATTTATCCCTCCAGGGCCAATATTTTGTAAAAGCATTCTGTTGCTTTTTAAAAAATTGTACAATTCTAAAAAGCAATATATTTGCTTAATAGATTTTCATGGAGAATGTATGGTATTTCATTTATTCTCACACTTGGCGCAAGTGTTTTTTTGTCCTCAAATAGCAATTTATCATATTCAATAAATTCCACTTGCCACTATTGTTACTCTTAGCGTGCTTGTCTGTTTTTTTTTCTGTTAACAGTTAATTGGTCATTATGTTGTTCTGCTCTTTGCTTTCTTGATTCTCATCAAGACAGTTGAATACAGATAGTGTTTTAACAGTAATAAATATTGGTTCTGAAATATTGATATAATTAATTTTAGGTTGATTGATTTCTTCATTGGTAAAATAACTAAGTATATCACCTACATGGTATGAATTTACAAGATGTTAGAATGTCTTTTACCTTCTGCTGCTTCAGTGTGATTTTGAGAGACTTTATTATCAACCCTTGAGAAATTTTTAGTTATCTCTAAGTACCTACATCTACACAGAACAAAAATACTGCTTTAGATAAGTCAAAAGTTAAATGGAAAAGAAAACCGCTCAACTCATTAATTCAGTAATTCTATTTTAAAACAATGTCAACAATTTTGACTTTTTTTCTTTTTCTCTTCTTTCCACTAGTTTATTTGGCTTGAGCGCTTATTTTTCTTCAGTAATTATTTTAAAGTATTGATAAATTACTCTCAATGTGTCAATGTTTAACATATTAAGTATCCAATCTGGGAAGCAATATATAGTCTTCTGGCATTTCTGTTCTAAGGGATTCTTTACTGTAAACATCAAGTGAAACTGCTTTCTTTTTGATGTATGTCATACTTAGGTAGTGCCTCTCTTCACATGACTACTTTTCAAGATAACTATTTTTCTTATTATACAAGTACTAGGACTTATGTAAAGATTTTGACACCAGAGACAATTTTTGATAAAACATAATCATAAAATTGCACTTTCTGAAATAACTGCAGACAACAATTTGATAGTTCATAGTTGCACCTAGTTTTAGTCAACTCTGTGTGTGTGTGTGTGTGTGTATGTGTGTGTACACTTGTCTCTTATCTCAGCGGGAGATTGATTCCAGGACTTTCCAAGGATATGAAAATCTGTGGATGCTCAAATCCTGATGGAAAATGGCATATAATTTGCATATAACCTACACATATCCTCTTGTATACTTTAAATCATCTCTAGATTACTTATAATACATAATGCAATGTAAATCTTATGCAAAGACTTGTATTGTTTAGGAAACAGTGACGAGGAAAAAAAGTCTGTACATGTTCAGTATAGTTGCTTTTTAAAAATATTTTTGATCTGTGGGTGATTAAATACATGGATGTGAAGCCCATGGAAACGGGGGGCTGTGTGTGTATATTAGATGTTACATATTATACACCTATAAATTACATATAATTCTGCAGGTTATCCCTTTCGTGCAATTTTTCCTCAGCATTATTTAATGGTTGCATAGTATTCCACTAGAGGGATTTTCTATAAAACTAGTAAATATTTTTTTCTTCAGATATTATTGCTATTTCTAATTATCTATTTTAAAATATTACCACAATGAATATATTTTTAACATATGTCTTTCCTTCATATCGTTATGATATATTCCTCAAATTGCTGAATGAAACAGTAGGGAAAAACAGACACCATGATGCAGCTAAAGATCTCAGTTTAAACTTTCTAATTTTGTTCTCATTTTACTAAGTTGTGATTTACTTGGTCAATTATTTATACTAATATTAATAATCTCATTTCTGATGAGTTACACGTGTAGTTGAATAAGCTCATTAAGACTGGTACCACTGATTCTTACACAATAAACTTGAGGAAAAGACATCAGCGGTGAGACCTCTGGTTTTGGTGTCAGAAATAGGACTCTAAAGATTCTGAATATCAGATCTGCTCTGGTACTACTTCTATAGATATTCTGCTTCTTCAAATCATCCAGCTGAAGATCAAGTCTTCCCCTTACCAGATCTTGTGGTAGGTTGCACAGTGACAGTAATATCATGGTACAGGAGGAGCCATTGCCAACTGATACATCAAGAGCCATATGCAACCCAAAAGTGCGACTGGATTGCTTTTTAAGAATAACTTACCTAAAGAACAAGTGTGGGGAAATGGACAGAAGATTGCTTCAGGGTGTTATTTATTGTATTATTTCCTCACTTTCAATAAACAGGCCTCTGCTCTAAGAACCTGCATTGAAATATCAGGAAAAGCTCTTTCTCTGTGTCTTTGTTCTTCAGCTGTATTCAAGAATCATCTGAGACATCAAAATCCCATGTCTTGACTCCGAAATTAGCAAAATGGCTTGAATTCAGACCGTGCCTTTCTCCAGTGGGAGTGGCTTGTACTCTCACTGAATCTCATCTTTTCAGGAATGTTTTAACATTTACTACTTCAGCCTCAGCCTTCTGCAGAGTCATTTAGTGATGCTTGCATTAAGTCAAACAAGCTAAAGAATATATGACTCATTCTCCTTCCAAAACAAAGTTATCTCCTCTGAGCTTATTTTTCATAATACTGTTCTAAATATCTAGCATATTAGGAAGTATTTCTAGGCCCAAATTAAAAGACACATTTTTCTGGAATATTCAACAAATGCTTTTTAAAAATTTGTTCATTCATAGTACTTCACTTACTCCATTTACAATAGTCTGGCATAATATCCATTTTTGTAAAATATAATATGAATAGCAATGTTAATAAAATTAGCAATATCATTGTAGTATTTTACCACTTTCAAAGCACTTTCATAAAGATTAATGTATCTGGCATTCATATGAGCTCTGTGAGCGAGTGTGAAAAGAATTATTCTCATCCTTATTTTATAGATTAGAAAACAGAGGCACAAGAACATAAGTAAACCCTTAAGTGCAGAAATATTAAAGGAAAGAATTGGAGGCTGATCCTCAAATTTTTTATTAACACTTAAAAAAACCCTGCCAATATGCCATAGATCTTTCCCTTATTATTAGTTGTTCAGCGCATTTATGTTTTCACTAATCAATTTGAGCTAGAAGGAAATTAGCAGTTTATTTTCCTGCAAGTCTCAAATCAGGATGAACATTCATGCTCAAAAATTCCTGTCTTTCACAGGTAAAAGCATTTTAATTTGTGACACCTAGATAAATAACCAAAGTTGTCAGACTTTACCTACTGATATTCTGCTCGGCAACAACTTATATTTCATCTTTTCTTTTATAACTTCTGTAGAACACTTCATTTTGCACACAGTCCATTTTCATTTTTTTTAGTATTATTAGGGTTATATACAGTAGTTCATTAGTATCAGAATTTCATGCTTATAAAATTAAGTCATGGGTAGTTAACGAGATGCTTATTTTTGCCTGAAGTTAAAAATTTTCATTTTTCTTTCTTTTTGATTCTTGGGTCAGAGAGTAAGCAGAAATAGGTATAATTACCCAGTGTATTACAAGGTTTCTAGAATGTCTACTAAATTTAACTCATAAAATGTTTTCTTTTTTTCAAAATCTGTAAATTCGGAAAAATATAAAAGCTACAATTAATATAATCAAGATATATTTTAAATCACGTTGCTTAACCTAGTTCTTACTATCAACAGTTTGTCTCTATTATAAAAATATAACAAATTAGTTTTTAATTTAATCATTATATTGCTGGCATTTTAAAAGCAAATTTTAAAGAAATTACATTATTTTCCTCAAACACTTGATTAATAAATATATCTATCAAATATCCCTTATGTGTTAGATAGTCAGCCAGATAATTTAAGAGAAAAAATAAGTAGGACATGTTCTGGTTTGACTTTATTTTTATTTTTATTTTTATTTTGAGAAGGAGTATTGCACTGTCGCCCAGGCTGGAGTGCAGTGGCGCAATCTCAGCTCACTGCAAGCTCTGCCTCCCGGGTTCACGCCATTCTCCTGCCTCAGCCTCCCAAGTAACTAGGACTACAGGCGCCCGCCACCACGCCCAGATAATTTTTTGTACTTTTAGTAGAGACGGGGTTTCACCGTGTTAGCCAGGATGGTCTGGATCTCCTGACCTCGTGATCCGCCCACCTCGGCATCCCAAAGTGCTGGGATGACAGGTGTAAGCCACCGCGCCCAGCGGTTTGACTTTATTTAATACAAATTCTGAAGGAGGCAAAAATAGCTAAAGGAGAATATAATAAATGCTATAATAGATGAGTGTATATGTTACTTCAGTATGGCAGAGGAAGATGACACACTTCATCTTCAGGTGGATTGGTTGTTAGAGGACCTTTCCCAGAGAAGGTTGCTTTTAAGCAGAATCCCACAGTTTGCAACAGTTTGCCAGGTACACCAGGTAGGAGAGAGAATATTATCGGAAGAAGGATGAGGCACAAAAGACAGATCTGAAAGGGGGTGGATTATTCAGGCAAAGTGAGAAAAGTATTATTAGAGGAGAAAAAAAGGTGAAATGTATGGGGCAGGTAGGCTAGCTGGAGAACATTTTTAAATGTTAAATTTGAAAGTGCAGCATTGAAGTATGGTTGAAGTGTGGGCAATAGAGAGAGGCAGAATTTGGTTTGAATCCTGTTTCTACTCTGTAGTAATGGTTTGACCTTGCACAAATTATTTGACAGCTATAAGGCTTTGGTTTTAGTATTTTAAATATTGAGATAAATAGGTACAGTATGCCTTGTATGAGATGTATAGGTTTAAATAAAACAACAAAATTTATATGATAAAAAGACTGCCTAAATCTACCCACATTTTAGCAATCACTTCTGATATTATTATTGATATTATTATTACTGGGGCTTTAACCCATAGGAAGGTCATTCTAGCAGCTGTATGGAGAACAAATTGGGAGTGGAAAGCACTGTAATCCACAGACATTTTCAATAAGATGTATATCCATCTAGTCCAAAGAACAAAGGTAGCAGAGTGATACTTTAAGAATAAAAACAAAAACATTACCTCAACTTTAGTATCTTGTATCATAAGAGCTTTGCACATGAATTGTTTTGATGTAATACTAAAAAAAGCCCCATAAGTTAAATTTGTGTATAGGATTCTCAAGAGAAACAGAATCATATTCTATTTATTATACATATTCTATTTCTCTCTATATAACTATATATTAAGTATATAATATACATGTTATTTTATATATGAAAAAAGATATTTCTTTCTCTCTCTCTACCTCTATCTCTCTTTTTCTTTCTTGCTAATACACAGTTGACTTTTAAGTTCTGGGATACATATGCAGAACATGCTGGTTTGTTACATAGGTATCCATGCACCATGGTGGTTTGCTGCACCTATCAACCCGTCATCTAAGTTTTAATCCCCGCATGCATTAGGTATTTGTCCTAATGCTCTTCCTCCCCTTGCCCCCGACCGCCCAACAGGCCCCAGTGTGTGATGTTCCCCTCCCTGTGTCCATGTGTTCTCATTGTTCAACTCCACTTATGAGGGAGAACATGAGGTGTTTCGTTTTCAACTCCTGTATTAGTTTGCTGTGGACTCTTGAAGAATACAAAAGTTAGGCGCACTGTCACCCTGTACAATCAAAAATCTGCATATAACTCTTGACACCCCAAAAATGTAACTAATAAATAAATGAATGCCTACTGTTGACTGGGAGGCTTACCAATAAGATAAACAGTCAATTAACACATATTTTGTATGTTATATGTATTATATACTGTATTCTTACAATAAAGTAAGCTAGAGGAAATAAAGTGTTATTAAGAAACTAATCAGAGGCTGGGCGTGGTGGCTCACGCCTGTAATCTCAGTACTTTGGGAGGCGAGGCGGGTGGATCACGAGGTCAAGAGATCAAGACCATCTGACCGACATGGTGAAACCCTGTCTCTACTAAAAATACAAAAAATTAGCCGGTCGTGGTGGCGCGCATCTGTAGTCCCAGCTACTTGGGAGGCTGAAGCAGGAGAATCGCTTGAACCCAGGAGGTGGAGGTTGCATTGAGCTGGGATGGTGCCACTGCACTCCAGCCTGGGTGACAGAGTGAGACTCCATCTCAAAAGAGAGAAAGAAAGAAAGAAAATAATCAGAAAGCGGAAATACATCTACTATTCATTAAGTATAAGTGGATCATCATAAAGGTCTTCATCTTCCTCATCTTTACATTGAGTATTGAGATTGAGGACAAAGAGAAAAAGGGGTGGTTGGTTTCGCGGTCTCAGGGATTGCAAAGGCAGAAGAAAATAAAGCCTATAATATTGGAGAGTCAACTGCACGTATGTATGTATGTATGTGCGTGTGTGTGTGTGTCTTGTGTGTGTGTTTGTGTGTAGAGAGAGAGAAAGAGAAATTATTTTAAGGAATTGTTTGGCTCACATGATCATGGTGGCTGGCAGGTCAGAAATCTTCAAGACGGGCAGTAGGTTGGAAACTCAGGCAGGATTTCTTTGTTACTCTCCTGATGCAGCATTATTTCTCTAAGAAACTTCAGTTTTTCTCCTAAAGCTTTCAACTTATTGGGGTTCTCCTTATGGAGGATAATCTGCTTTACTCAAAGTCTGCTGATCATAATTGTTAATCACATGAGAAAAAAAAAAAACTCCTTCATGGCAACATCTGGTGTTTGACAAAAAAACTGGGCACCATAGCCTAGCCAAGTTGATAAATAAAATTAACCATCACAATAGGGCCTAAAAAATAAGATTTGGTGTGATTCATTTAAAATGTGTCAAATGTGCAAGAGGCAGTGGAAGGTAGAGCTGACATCCAAGTACCTGGATATCTGACTTCATACTCAGAATATGTCACCCCTGGGCCATGCCGCCTCTTACTAGACAGAGCTTTCACCTGGATTCTCTCCTCTATGTCTGCTTCTAGTAGGAGGGTGATTATGCAGTAACTTGAATGAAGTTTAAAAATAAACAACAAAGGGGAAGACAAAGAATCAATATTGATTATATTGCTAAGTTCATCTTTTCAAAAAAATTTCATTTTCCTTCTTATATTAAAATAGCCAAGTAAATTAGACTTTTTACGTTTTCCTTTCCTTGGCATCTAAACTCTGTTGCTTCTTCGTTTTTCTTTTCTTTAATCCCAGAAAACTAGATGATTCCTTAATATCATTTTGAGATTGTCATATAACATTGGGTTAACATTTAAAATTACATAACCCCAACATTGATACTAATTCTAGTGACTGAAATTTAGTTAATGACAACTTTAAAAGGGCATGCATCCTCTGTTCAAACTGATTTACATGAATTTTGATATTATTTTGAAGGGAGATCAATTCCACATGAAAGCTGATTTATATGTTTTATTTTAAGGCTCTGAAATTCCATCTGCCTTTATGGCACTGGGCCACATCACAACTAGGTCAGATTCTTTCAGGAGCACACAGGTGTCCAGCAAAATTGTGCTTGTGCTTGGCAGCTTACACTGTGGCACCACACCAATTGCTGAACACAAGCTCTCTCCTCTCAGTGAGAGCCACCTTCTTATCGTGTTTGTGCCTGTACCTGGTCTCAGGCCAAAAATGAATGGATAGACAGTGAATTTGAGTAATGAAGACACATTGAGTATACACATCGGGTTATCTTTTATAAAGGACTTTAATTTGAATAATGTTGGTGTGTAAAATTCAAGAAAGAGAAATGGAGTGTTCACTATCTTTCATTAAAAATGCCACTGTAAATACTAAAAATGCACAAATGTGTAAAGTTATATCCATCACTTTCAAAGAAGCATAGGAAATAATTTTTAGCTGTTTCAAATAGTATACAGCATATTCTAAGTTAACGCCTTTCATGATCTAGTTACACCTGACCTAATATGTTCCAAGTGAAATGTTTATTTCTTTATTCACCTATTTTTTTTTTACTGATTCCTTTTATAATGTGAGTATTCTTGATTTTCAGCCTCTAAATAAGCAAAGAATTGCTGACTCAATTACTGTCCATAAAATACAAAATGCATTCTAGTCAGACTAAAACTTCACAATTTATCTTTTATATTGTCATTAACTTATATGTGTATGGTACAAATTATAATTAAATATTTACCAATGTAATCCTAACTATATTTTTTATTAAATTTTTCTATTCTTAAGATGTATGTGGATATTTAGATTACTGTGTCTTATTCTGAATCTCCTCTTAGTTTGAAAAATTCAGAAGACTCCTCTTAGAGAATGCCTCAGGAAGCTTCTAAGATGCCAGCCCCTTCTCCCTAACTGAGCTATAGTTTGGGGCATTTTCAGTTGTGTTACACTCTCAGCTGCCATTGCCCTCCTTTCCTTCTCTTGTCCTTTCACAGCATAATTTAACAAGCATTTAGTGGGTGTCCACTAGATGTCAGGCAATCTCCTAATAATTTCAAAGGAACAATCTTTCGGAAATCACATATGTGAAAGAAACTGGACAAGGATGAGCACGATGTAAGAAAGAGGTTTTTTTGTTTTGTTTTGTTTGTTTTTTGAGACAGAGTCTCGCTCTGTCGCCCAGGCTGGAGTGCAGTGGTATGATCTCGGCTCACTGTAACCTCCGCCTCCAGGGTTCACGTGATTCTCCTGTCTCAGCCCACGGAGTAGCTGGGACTACAGGCACGTGCCACCACGCCCTGCTAATTTTTGTATTTTTAGTAGAGATGGGGTTTCACCGTGTTGGTCAGGCTCTTTTCAAACTCCTCACCTTAGGTGATCTGCCTGCCTTGGCCTCCCAAAGTGCTGGGATTACAGGCATGAGCCACCACCCCAGGCCGAAAGAGGTCATTTTTGTCTATATTTTTTTTAAATGTTGAAGTAGGCTGCTTCCCACATACTTTCCAGTTGGAGCTAACTTTACAGCTGGTTTATAACACTGTTTCTTTAAAAAATTGTTTCAAGTCACAAAGTAACACAATAAGATAATTACTCTTTTAAAGACTCATTTCTAGAAGATGTTGAATTGTTGACAAAAAGAAAGAATTTTAAACAAGTTTGTAAATAATCATTTTTTCATTCATTCATAAGACATTGACTGAATGTCTATTGTTTGGTAGGTCCCACACACAATTTCTGTGAAAAAACACAAAAGAAAAAATGACGCCTAACCTCAAAGAACTCACACACAGCAAAAGAGAAATTAATACCATAATCATATTCAGAAATGCAAGTTGAAATGTGAACTCTGTAAGCTCAACAAGCCAAGACGGACTTTAGATGCCATTATAAAACGTAATATTCCTTTCTTATACCTTTGGGTAATTTTCACATAAAAAAATCAATTGCATGAATTACAAGGTTTTGCTTGTTTTAACTAAGCATATATAGTCTTAAAAAAGTCAAAAGTTCAAAGTCAAGAAAATTGTGAATGTCTTGATATTGTATTGCAGAGAAGGTCTGTTTCTTTCTCTTATACAATCAGCATTATTTTGAAGATATTTAGGCATGCTCTTCACTGGAAAGAAAGGTCACCCTCAAGAAGCTATGAGGCAAAGACAACCACTTTATTTGTAAGTTTTCTCCATTAAAAGAAGACAGTGTTTTAAAATTACACAATATGCTTTATCCAATAAAAATCTGCACTATTTTGAAGATAAAAATTCAATCTCCAAGTTCATTTTTTAATTCTTTTTACAGATAAAATACTCAAAGTCAATTCTCTGAAGCTTTTTATTATATTCATTCTAACATCTTCTATTTATTATCTATATTCTGTTTAATTATATTAGTTAAATTTGTTGCCTTGGTCTCATTATGAAATTTTTCTGTAATATTTGGTGATTCTCATTCTATTTATTATTATGATGATATGCAAACCCCATTCCAGTTTTATTATGCCTTGTCATGATATGATCCCAGATGTTGTATAAAATGAACAGAATGTATGGAGGGCAGGTATGTACCAGGGCCATATCTTCTGGGTATGAGATGTTCCCCCCTCCTGGGAATAATTAGCTCTCAAGAACATTTCTTTATGTCTTTACTCCAAGGGGTGGCCCTCACTGCTCCAGTCCAAGATCAAGTTCCACTACTGATGGTTCTGAGCAAGAATGTGAGGAACCCAAATGGTCTAGCTCTTCCAAATCCATTTCCCCACATTACCTGACAACAAATGTTTCCAAGTTCATTGCTGCATCTATTTTATTTCAAATACCACTGTGTTCTATTCATGGGGTGTATGTATTACTCACTTTATTATTTTATCCCAATGCTTTAAAAATCCCTGCCTTTCTATTGTCCATGGTGCAAGCTCACACTAACCATTGAATATCCTGCACTTTGCATACATATTTTGCATGGTTTGTTGATTTAATAAATAAAATAATTTTAATTTGAAAATATGCTTCTTTTTTGAGTCTTTGTTTCTTTTGCTCAAGGAGTGGCAACCATATTTCTCCAATATCCCCATAAGGAACTTCATAGTCTTCTTTGTGTCTTCTCTTTCCCCCATTTACTACATTTGAACTATCCACTAAGGTTTGTTTAATCTGTTTTTTTAACTGTTTTTTCTTCAATACTTTTGTTACGAGAAAAATCAAGATTTGTATAGAAAAAATATTTCCCACAACCTGGGAGGGAGCCAAGAGACCAAAGAACGACTTGGACAAGTCAAGCTTGGTGAGGAGACCTGTTTATTAGGACTTACATACAGGATACTCGTGGGCAGCAGCAGGACAATTTGGGGATTTGTGTCACCCCCCCCACCCTCAAAACTGCTTTTAAGCTAATTTGCTAGCTCTATTTCTGCTATGTTTGAGCAATGAGACTGTTTTCCTTGGGAGGTTTTCAGATGCTCTCCAGAATGTTTGGGTTCTCAGAGACACCTGCTCTTTGGTTTGGGCACCATAGCTTTGGCACGCAACCTAGCCTTCAGTGGTCAGGCAGTGGACACACACATACAGTATCCAAACGAAACCTTAGTGAAGGACTCATCACACTACAATTTTATACTAAAAATTCTCAAATTTCCTGGAGTTATTGATTCCTGTTACCAATGGTTGGCTCAACATCCATCATTTCTTGGCTGGCTGATTGAACTTATCTCAATTGTCACTGCTTTCTTTTACTTGCACACCTAATAAGTTTATTACCACAGACAAAATTACTTCTAAAGTGTAAAACAGATCTCACTTACTTAGGAATCTCTCATGCCTCTAGAGATTGGCCTGTCTTCCTAGATGATGCTTAAGATCCTCCATGATTTCCAGCTCATACCTGTCTGATTCTTGGAATCCATAAAATTTAGAGTTCTTTTTTCTCTCTGATTTTCCACGCTCTTTTTAGTGTTCTTGATTGTGCATAGTTCTCAGTTGAGACATCTAGTCACCCCAGTGTATAAGGGAATGCCTCTTCAGTAAAATATTCTGTAAATACTTCTTGAATATATAATTATAACAGAAAGTACATGCTGAGAAGGTGGACTTCTGGTACCATTGGCCAATCTCTTCCCCCCTCTTTTGTGTCACAAGCATTTCTCCGCTGGGCCTAGTTAGTCTTCCATACTCTTCTCAATAAACAAACTGTCCAGTGGACTCATCCTTCTTTAAATCATTTTATTGACCACTAACCAAGAGAAACTGCACTGGCATCTCAGTCTTCTATAGAAACCATGGATCAGCATTCATTTTTCAATATTAGCTTAAGACATACAAAATTAACAGTATTCTTTTGGCTTAAAAGTTTGGATTTTAGCAATTTTATGAATTTTAACCTAATATGCAGAGTATTAAATTCTACAAAATATCTGACAAAAATAATTTTATCTACCTTGTTACATTTCCAGTGATTATATGTATTTCTCACAGTTTGATATGTCAGACACCGCACAGGCTTGTCCACCCACCAGTGGGTATTTGATTCAGATACAATATTTTCTCTGGCCAAAATAATTTTACCACTTTTAAAAAATATAATTTAGTTTTTGGAGCTGTTTTAAGTTCACAGTGAAACTGAGCAGAAAGTATAGAGAATTTTCACATATCTCTTGGCCCACACATAATAGCCTCCCCCTCTACCAACATCCCACACCAGAGTGGTACATTTGTTACAACTGATGAACCTATATTGACACATTATTATCACCCAGAGTCTGTAATTTACATTAGTTCTTACTCTTGGTATATATGCAATATATACATACATATATATATAAATAATAAATAAATAATATATGTATATATTTTTTGAGACAAAGTCTCGCGCTATCACCCAGGCTGGAGTGCAATGGCGTGATCTCGGCTCATTGCAACTTCTGCCTCCCGGGTTCATGCAATTCTCCTGTCTCAGTCTCCTGAGTAGCTAGGATTACGAGTTTTGCTCTTGTTGCCCAGGCTGGAGTGCAATGGCATGATCTCAGCTCACTACAACCTCCTCCTCCTGGGTTCAAGCAATTCTCCTGCCTCAGCCTCCCGAGTAGCTGAGATTACAGGCATGCACCACCATGCCCAGCTAATTTTGTATTTTTAGTAAAGACGGGGTTTCTCCATGTTGGTCAGGCTGGTCTCGAAATTCCAACCTCAGGTGATCTGCCCACCTCAGCCTCCCAAAGTTCTGGGATTACAGGTGTGAGCCACCGTGCCTGGCTGGTATATATATATATATATATATATATATATATATATATATATATATATATATATATATAATGTTTGTCAAATGTATTGATGACATGTATTCACCACTATAGTATTACACAGAATAGTTTCACTGGCCTAAAAATCTTCTGTGCCTTACCTATTCATCTCTCCCTCTCTCCAACACTTGGAAACTATGATATTTTTACTGTCTATACTCTTGTCTTTTCTAGAATGCCATATAGTGAGAATCATATAGTAGGTAGCTTTTTCAGGTTGGTTTCTTTCACTTAGTAATATATAGGCAAGATTCCTCTGTGTCTTTACATAGCTTGATAGCTTATTTCTTCTTTGCACTGCAAAATATTCCATAGTTTTTTTTTTTTAAATCTATTTACCTACTGAAGGTCAGCTTAGTTGCTTCCAAGTTTAGGCAGTTATAAATAGAACTATTATAAATATTTGTATGCAGGCTTTTGTATGGATATAAGTTTCCAACTCATTTGGATAAATACCAAGGGGCACTCTTGTTAGATCATATAATAAAAGTAGGTTTTAGTTTTGTAAGAAACTGCCACTCTTCTATAACTGTACTATTTTGCATTCCCACCAGGATTCACCACTTTTGTTTGCTGTGAGATTCTGGTACACTATTCAGAGGGAGCTATTTCTCATTTTCTCTATGAAAACCTCACCAATATTTCCAAGTAAAAGTAAACATTTTGTTCTTCATGCAACCAAAAGTTTTAGAAACATTTTAAGTGTATGTGAAGTAGACCTATATGCGGTCATTCTAGGAAAGAAGGACAAGTGTCATCCCAGAGGTAAACTCATCTTAGAATTCTAGGAAAGAAGGACAAGTGTCATCCCAGAGGTAAACTCATCTTAGAATTCTAGGAAAGAAGGACAAGTGTCATCCCAGAGGTAAACTCATCTTAGAAAATGTCATGATATGAGATGGTGACTAAAGGCAAATACCAGAGCTGAGTTAGTGAAAAAAAGATGTTTCAGTGCAGAGATATGTGAATATCGATGGTTTCCTTCTGTGTTCAACCACATTCATACATGGCTACATACCAGTCAATCAAAATTACAAGTCACTTAGAGCTTTTTTTGTGAAAGCCCTTATGCAACTTGGCATGAAGCTCTACACTGGGGAGAGAAATGTCCTACACACAACACTGTTACTGGGTGGGTCTTTGCTGTTAGAGCTCCCAAGATGGTGGTGGGCTGCATCCAAGATGGCAGCAAGCCTTTTATTCTCTGACCTGGGGTTCTTGGCCTCATGGATTCCAAGGAATGGAACCTCCGGCCGTGCAGTGAGTGTTATAGCTCTATTAGAAGCTGTGGGTCATGGAAGAGAACTGTGGAACCCAGCGACTAGTGGTCAGCTCGATTAGGATGAACCCGGGCACTTAGCTGGGCAGGAACAATGGTAAGCCTCTAGCCCAGTGGGGAGCAGGAGCCGCCATGGGTGCCTTACTGGATCAGAAGCGCAGTGGACACCCTGCCGGATCTGGAGGGGTGGAAGTCAGCAATGGGTGCTTCACTGAATCAGAAGCACAGCAGACACCCTGCTGGATCCGGAGGGGTGGAAGTCAGCGGAGGGTCTGCGACGGCAGCATTCAGCAGTGATGGACGGCAACGAAAGCTCAGCTCCTGCCAGAACAAACACGGACCAGAAGAGTGTGCAGTTGCAAGATTTAATAGAGTGAAAACAGAGCTTCCATACAAGGGGAGGGGACACAAAGGGTTGCCACTCCCTGCTTGAATGCCTGGGTTTATATCCCGATCATTGTCCTTCCCCCTGTGCTCTCAGGTGATATATGATTTGACTATTTCTTTACCTCCTGCTTTTAGCCTAATTTGTATTTTAGTGAGCCCTCTTTACTACCTGATTGGTTGGGTGTGATCTGAGTTACAAGCCCCGTGTTTAAAGATGGGTGCTGTCACCTTCCCCAGCTAGGCTTAGGAATTCTTAGTCGGCCTAGGAAATCCAGCTACTCCTGTCTCTCAACAGTGAAGTGTTATATCACCGATTGAGACCAGTAAAGTGCCCCAAACATGGGGCTTCCTGTGGTGTTCAGCAGCAAAGCTATAGCAGAAATCATCAGGGGATCAAAACTTTTGCCAGAGGGAGGGCATACCTAGTTTCGGCTTTATCTCATCTTTTAAAGGATGACCTCTGAACAAAAAATTCTTAAGGAAATTGAAACAGGCACGTAGTGATATATAGATACCAGCTGATTTGTATATCACCCTTAGGGGTTAAGAATTGACAAAAATTACTCAAGAAGGGAAGCCAGTAGCATAATAAATGCCTCAACATCAGCAGAAGCCAGGTGCTATTGAAACGTAACTAATAAAAGAAGCCTGAAGCTAATTATAGGGATAATTTCCCTATTTAATATGCCAATTTTTTAAAATTTGGGGATCAAGTAAAATAATGCATATTATTATATTTTGAACTAACAAAATTCTATACAAGAGAAAGTATTATTCATCACAGAAATCAGTATCTTCTATTGTCCTTGGGAAAAAAAAATTAAATAACCGCATCCTAATTCCATTAAGATTCCATATAAGGTGATAACGATGTAGGAAAAAAACTTCAATAATGATTGTATTTAGTATGATAATTCATATGTAGTTATTCACTTCAATTTTATATTTTCTGTAATACAATATTCTGGTATTTTTGACAGTATTACTATCAAAGAAAAAAAGTGTGTTCATATACTATAGTAGGTAACTGGCTTAAGGAACTACAGAATTCAATGAAAGTCCTCAAAAGGGCTGACCTGTTACAATCTCTAATTTTCCATGTTGAAAAAAAAATCATTAATTTTAAAAATGTGTTCACATGTTTAAAGGCTTGGAAAGTCAACAGTGAGTCTTTAAATAATTTTGTGTTTTTCTCATCATTAAACCAAATGAAATTGACAGGAATGAGAACCTCTGCCAAGGGGAGACACTTGTTATTTTCTGCTTAAGAAAACAATAGGGCCGGGCGCGGTGGCTCACGCCTGTAATCCCAGCACTTTGGGAGGCCGAGGCGGGTGGATCATGAGGTCAGGAGATCGAGACCATCCTGGCTAACAAGGTGAAACCCCGTCTCTACTAAAAATACAAAAAATTAGCCGGGCGCGGTGGCGGGCGCCTGTAGTCCCAGCTACTCGGGAGGCTGAGGCAGGAGAATGGCGTGAACCCGGGAAGCGGAGCTTGCAGTGAGCCGAGATTGCGCCACTGCAGTCCGCAGTCCGACCTGGGCGACAGAGCGAGACTCCGTCTCAAAAAAAAAAAAAAAAAAAAAAAGAAAACAATAGAACTTGGACATTTTAGTGTCTAAGACAACCAAACACTCAAACTTAGAAAAAAAATTAGAGTATGTGGTTGTATAATTTTAGATTTCTGAATTCCTTGTATAAGTTTATTTGTAATGTAGATTTTATTAAATTTATTTTCTATTGTATAAATGATTGCATACATGTAACAGATTCTAATAGATTATTGTTAAATATAGTAGTTAAGAGCATAAATTCAGGTGTTAACCTTCCACTGTTAAATCTTATTTTGATAAATTATTATCTGCATGACCTTGAGTAAATTAATAGCACCTTTCTCGTTGAGATGTTACGGGAATTGAATGAGTTGACATGTGTAAATGACTTATAATGGTCTGCACGACATTCAGAAATCAATCAGTAAAATTTACTACATCAACAAAATATAGAATAAAGTCTATATGGTAGTCTTCATAGATGTACAAAAAGCATTTGGCAAAATTTAAAACCCAGTCAAGACCTAGGTATAGAAAAGAGTATCATCAATATGATATTCTGGTATCAATATGATAAAAGACATCCATGAAAAACTTATACCTAAAATTATATTTGATGGACTACAAATTCCCAAATATGGAAATGAGTATCTCCTCCTGCCACTTTTGTTTGACATTTTGCTAGAATTAATGGATAATGTAAGAGAGAAAGAAAACTATTAATTCAGATCAAAATGGAAGAATAAATTTTTTTTAAAAAAAGAATGACTTTTATATAAAACATTAGTTCATCAGAAAACAACCAAAAAATACTAATAAAGGAATTTAGCAAGGTTATAGACTCAAAAACATGTAAAAATAAATTATATGCTGGGTGTGGTGGCTCACATCTGTAATATCAGCACTTTGGGAGGCTGAGGCAGGCAGATCACTTGAGCTCAGGAGTTTGAGACCAGCCTGGGCAACATGGCAAAACCTCATCTCTATAAAAAATACAAAAATTAGCCCGGTGAGGTGGTGTGCTTCTGTGGTCCCAGCTACTCTGGAGGCTGAAGTGGAGAATCACCTGAGCCTGCAGAGGTCAAGGCTGCAGTAAGCTGAGATCATGCCACTGCACTCCAGACTGGGTGATAGAGTGAGACCCTGTCTCAAAACAACAACATCTATCTATCTATCTATCTATCTATCTATCTATCTATCTATCTATGCACATATATATTAATGTATATATACATATTAGTGTATGTATATAGATATAAGTATACTAGAAACATTTACTGAAAATAACCATTTTTTAAATGATACCATTCACAGTAACATCAAATTTGAAATATATTTGCAATGAATATGGTATACCCACTACAATAAAAATTATAAAGCAGAGAGAAATCAAAGATCTAAATAAATATAGTGCTAGATCAAATCATTAGAGAGTAAATAACATTAATATATAAATTCTCCCAAAAGTAATCTGCAAATTCAATAATTACTATAAATAATCCATCACACTTTTACTGTATAAATTGACAAGTTGATTCTAATATACCTGTGAAAATACAAAGAACCAATAGAGCAGATTTATACTACTGAAATTTAACACTTTCATTACTATAAATATACAGTAATTTTGAGAGTGTAGGGGAAGACAAATCAATAAAGGGGACAGAAAAAGAGTCCAGAAACAGATACAAACCTATATAAGCAATTAATTTTGATAAAAAATAATTAATTGGGAACAGGCTTATTTTCCCAATAAATGCTACTGAAACAACTGGATATTTCTGAGGGAAAATGACTCTATAATCCTACCTTAAATGATTCATAAAAATTAAATGGAAATGAATAATTAGAGTAAGCATAAAGATTAATCTAAAAAGTTTTAGAAAACTAAGATTACTTTGTAACCCTAGGTAGGTAAAGACTTCTTAGAAAAGACACCAAAATCATTAAATATGAAAGAAAAATTGATTACATAATTTATAAAATGTATAAAAGACTTTTGAATCACATGAAAGAATTCCAAAAATCATTAGTCATTAAAGAAAGAAACATTATAATTACCAAGCAAAATTACTTTATATTCCCTTTAATGACAAAAACTAAAGACTGATAGAATCAAATGTTAGCCAGTATGTGAAGCAGTTGGATCTCACATTCCTGCCATGAGTAGAAAATGTTACAGTCACTTAGGAACACAGTTTGGGAGTTTCTTATAAAGTTAAGCAAGATCTACGCTATGACCCATCAATTCCAAACCACAGAACACGTGACCCAGGAATATTCCCAAAAGAATATTCATGGAAGCTCCATTTACAGTAATTAAAAAGGAAAAGCGACACTAATGTTCATTTACAGGTAATGGGTAAAGAAACTTTTGCATTTACATAATTCATATTCAGCAATAAAAGAGACAAACATTGGTGCTTGCAATAATACAGATGAATTTCAAAAACTTTGTGTTAAGTGAAAGAAGCCAGTTACAAAATCATGTATATTCCAGGATTTCATTTATATTAAGCTCTAGACAGGCAGAAATAACTGATAGTGGCAAAATAGTGTTTTGTACTGGGAAGCTGAGGAATGTGAACTTATGGAACCAGGACCTGGGGAGCATACTTCAGTGATGAAAATGTTCTACAGGCATACCTTGGAGATATTGAAGGCTCGGTTCCAGAGCACAATAAAGGGAAGGTCGCAATAAACCAAGTCACAAGAATATTTTGGTTTCCCAGTGCATGTAAAAGTTATATTTACACTATACTTTAGTCTATTAAGTGTGAACTAGAATTCTGTTTAAAAACAATGTACATTACAATTAAAAATACTTTATTGCTAGAAAATGCTAACAATCTTCTGAGCCTTCAAGCCTCATAATCTTTTTACTGGTGGAATGTCTTGCCTAGATGTTGGTGGCTGCTGACTGACCAGAGTGGTGATTGCTAATAGCTGGGGTGGTGTGGCAATTCTTTTGTTTTTTGAGCTGGAGTTTCGTTCTTGTCACCCAGGCTGAAGTGCAATGGCGAGATCTCAGCTCACTGAAACCTCCTGGTTTCAAGCAATTCTCCCTCAGTCTCTTGAGTAGTTGGGATTACATGCATGACAACACATGTGGCCAATTTTGTATTTTTTTTTTTTTTTTTTTTTTTTTTTTTTTAGTAAAGACCATGTTGCCCTGGCTAGTCCGGAGCTCCAGACCTCAGGTGATCCACCTGCTTCAGCCTCCCAAATTGCTGGGATTACAGGCATGAACCACTGCATCCGCCCACAATTTTTTTAAATAAAAAAAATATATATAGTTTGCCTCACCGGTTAACTCTGCATTTTTCAAAGATTTCTCTGTAGCACAGAGGATGCTGTTTGATAGCATTTTACTCAGAGTAGAAACTGGAGTCGATCCTCTCAAATTCTACTTTATCAACCAAGTTATGTAATATTCTAAATCCTTTGTTGTCATTTTAATAATGTTCACAGCATCTTCATCAGGAGTAGATTCTATCTCTAGAAACCATTTTCTTTGTTCATCCGTAAGAATCAACTCTTCATCTGTTAAAGTTTGATCATGAGATTGCAGGAATTTAGTCACATCTTCAGGCTTCATTTATAATTCTAGTTATCTTGCTATGTCCACTAGATCTGCAATTACTTCCTCACTGAAGTCTTGAACTCTTCAAAGTTATCAATGAGGGTTGGAATCAAATTGTTCCAAACTCATGTTAATATTGATTTTTTTTTTTTTTTGGATGGAATTTCACTCTTGTCACTCAGGCTGGAGTGTAATGGCCTGATCTCGGCTCACTACAACCTCTGCCTCCCAGGTGCAAGCAATTCTCCTGCCTTAGCCTCCCAAATACCTGAGATTACAGGTACAGGCCACCACATCCAGCTAATTTTTGTATTTTTAGTAGAGATGGGTTTCACCACATTGGTCAGGATGGTCTCAATCTCTTGACTTCGTGATCTCTTGATCTCTTGACCTCAGCTTCCCAAAGTGCTGGGATTACAGGTGTAAGCCACCGCGCCTGGCCTAATATTAATATTTTGACCTTTTCCCATGAATCACAAATGTTCTTAATGTCATCCAGAATGATGAATCCAATTCCAGAAGATTTTCAAATTATGTAGCCCAGACCCATAGAAAAATCACTCTCTATGGTAGCTGTGGCATCATAAAATGTATATTTTCAAAACAATAAGACTCAAAAGTCAAAAATTACTTCTTGAACCATGGAGTAATTTAAAAATAAGACTGGCGACTTTAAGTTAAAGCCAATGCTTATTTACTATTTGAAAATCGTAGGGTCCTTAATAATTGTGCTTAGAGCTGGGCCTAATGGCTCATGTGAGTAATCCTGGCTACTCAGGGAGCTGTGTAGCTGGGATTAAAAATAATAAGTCTCAAAAGTCAATAATTACTCCTTGATCCATGGACTGCAAAATGGATGTTGTGTTAGCAGGCATGAAAACAAAATTAATATTTGGGTACATCTCCAACAGAACTCTTGGGTGGCTAGGTGCAGTGTCGATAAGCGGTAATGTTTTGGAAAAAAAATTTTTTTGAGCAATAGATCTCTAAAGTGGGCTTAAAATATTGAGTAAGTAAACCATGTTGTAAACAAATGTGCTGTCATCCAGCCTTTGTTATTCCATTTATAGAGCACAGGTAGAGTAGATTAAGCATAACTTTTTTTTTTTTTGAGAGTTGGAGTCTTGCTTGGTTCACCCAGGAGGAAGTGCAGTGGCATGATCATGGCTCATTGCTGCCTGAAACTCCTGTGCACAAGCAATCTTCCTTCCTCAGCCTCCTGAGTAGCTGCAGCTGCTGGTGCATACTACCACACAGGGCAAAGTTTTTCATTTATTTGTCTGTTTTTAGAGAGGAGGTCTCACTATGTTGCCCAGGTTGGTCTCAAATTTCTGGCCTCAAGCAATCTTCCAGCCACAGCCTCCTGAGTAGCTGAGATTACTGGTGTGAGCCCTTGTGCCCAGCTCTAAGTATAATTATTAAGGGCCCTAGGATTTTCAAACAGTAAATAAGCATTGGCTTCAACTTAAAGTCACTAGATGTACGCTAGCTTCTAACAAGAGAGTCTGACTGTCCTTTGAAGCTTTGAAGCCAGGCATTGACTTCTTGTCTCTAGTTATAAAAGTTCTTAGAGGACATCTTCTAAGATACAGCTGTTTCATACATTGAAAATCTGGTTTTTAGTGTAGCCACATTCAACAATTATCTTAGCTGTCTCTTCTGATAACTTCTGACAGCTTCTATATAAGCACTTGTTGCTGTGCGTTGCATTTTTTATGTTATGGAAATGACTTCTTTTCTCAATCCTCGCGAACCAACCTCTGTTAACTTCTGACTTTTCTCCCGCAGACTCTTCACCTCTCTTGGCTTTTAAAAAATTGAAGAGAGTTAAGGCCTCTGCATTACGTCTTGGCTTAAGAGAATTTTGTGGCTGGTTTCATCTTTTATTCAGACCACTAAAACTTTCTTCATATCAGCAATAAGGGTGCTTTTTCACATTCGTGTGTTCACTGGAGTAGCACTTTTAAGTTTTTTCTTTTTATTATGCTTTAACTTCTAGGGTACATGTGCACAACGTGCAGGTTTGTTACATATGTATACATGTTCCATGTTGGTGTGCTGCACCCATTATTAACTCATCATTTACATTAGGTATATCTCCTAATGCTATCCCTCTCCCCTCCCCCCACCCCACGACAGGCCCCGGTGTGTGATGTTCCCCACCCTGTGTCCAAGTGTTCTCATTATTCAATTCCCACCTATGAGTGAGAACATGCAGTGTTTGCTTTTCTGTCCTTGTGATAGTACAAAAACTTTTTTTTGCAGTCACAACTTGACTAATTGTGTGGCCTAAGTGTCCTACTTTACAGCTGATCTTGGTTTTGACACACCTTCCTCTTTAAGCTTAATTATTTTGCCACACCTTTCTCTTTAAGCTTTATTATTTCCTGCTCTTAATTTAAAGTGAAAGACATGCAACTCTTTCTTTCTCTTAGAGACCATCGTGGGGTTGTTAATTGACCTGATTTTAATATCATGTCTCAGAGAACAGGAAGGCCTGACAAGAGGGAGAGAGATGGGGAACAGCCAATTGGTGGAGCAGTCAAAATATACACACATTTAAGGATTAAGTTTGCTGCCTTACATAAGTGCAGTTTGTGGTTCCCCAAAAACTATTCTAGTAACATCAAACTTCACTGATCACAGATCACCGTAACAGACATAAAAATAATTCAAAAGTCCGAAATGTGGGAATTACCAAATGTGACACAGAGACATAAAGCAAGCATGTGCTGTTGGAAAAATGATATAGATGGGCGTGCTTAATGTGAGGTTTCCACAGCCTTCAGTTTGTAAAAAGCACAATACCTGCAAAGCAGAATAAAACTAGATATGCCGTATAGGTTAATGGGTGTGGGTATTAAACATTACATATATTTGTCAAAACCCAGCAAATTACATTTATTTATACTTTATTGAAAAAATAGTCTACCACTAAGTAAAATAGCGATTTAATCTATGACTGCTAATCTATAACAAAAACTGCTATAAAGAAATGTTTTGTACTAATATCTATATAATTACATAAGTATGTAATTATATATATACACAAATAACAGTTTTATATGAATGTATAAAAGCATTATAAGTTTGTATTTGTATATATGCATATGTGTATGAATTTGGGTATACATATATGTGTTTTTGTGAGATTTCATACTCTCAGATACACCAATGACTTTTAGAATAACTTAAAATTTTGAAAAAGAACCACAACATATATTTAAATACATTCTACACCTTAAATGTTCTTCCAACTTTATGTTGAAAAATTTATTAGAATATTGATATATTAAACTGCATCATGAAAAGCTTATTTACATATTTAAATATTATAGTCATCATTTCTACATGCCTATGTCAGCCTTGTTTAATCACATAATTTAAAGCATATTTTAATATGTCATTAATTTTGTTTCTATAGATTATTTTGATGACATAGATTTCATATATTTGTCAACTTTTTTAAAGTAGTTTAAAAAATTTTAAAAATTGCTCATTATTATAGTGAGAGGATTATACAGGTTTTTTCCTGCTTCCTTATATGACAGTTTGAAAATATTCTTATAGTCTTAATTACAAATACATGTAAAATCTTGATAGGTAGATATAAATATTTGCTTCTTGTTTCTCTTCTTTTGTCAAACAAGTATTAACTACTTATTCCTTTAATCATATTATTTTTCTATAATTAAAGCCCACTTTTCTCAAACATTTGAGATGGTATGAACTGAGATATAAAATGATAGAACTTTGAAGTCTTGAACCAGCATTCAAGCTTTTAACAAAATAAGGAACATACATTTGTTCTCAGTCTCTACTCTGAACCCACAAAAGAAGGAGTATAATTGAAGGACCTGGGTTTGGCAACTACTGAATTCTAAAAAGTACATACAAATATATGGGGAGCCCGCATCAGAGGAATAGAAGGAATGGGATTCAACATTGGAGAATCATTGCCTTGGAGTGAGAGAAGACAAGAGACTATACATAAATCATAGATGATAGTTTGGGAAAATTACATTATTTGTGTTTTTGTTCCTTTGCAAATTGACCAAGAGGGATCTTTGCCTTCTCATTAGCTCACTGAGGACAAGAAAGCAAAACTGATGCCTTGTAACAGGGCAAAAATGGGAGAGCTCCTGTGCTCATATGGATAAATAGGAACCAGCAATGTGTAAAGTAAGGTGCTTCATACATTCTCTCTCATTACTCTCAATCTACTTCCCAGCACCATATATGGGATACTTGTCAATTACAATGGCCAATTGCAGGCTCAAGATTGTGTAGTGCCTTAAGCAGAGATCATGAGGTATTATTCTGAGTTGTAGGATAACATGTGTAAGGAAAATGAGAGAGGTCAAGCCCTTCCTCTATCACCAAAAAGAAGTATTTTTCAGACTGTTAAACAAAGCTCATTTGTAACAAAAAATATTTTAATGGGCTACAATAAGTGTATTTAAATAAGATGAGAATGAATTGAAAACATCAAGGTGTATCAAATGAGTGATGGTAAGCATTTTTAAGTAAGTTCTTTGTAAGTTAAGCTTTTCAAATACACACACACATTTATTATAAAATGTTAAATCCATGAGGATTGAAATATTTGTGGTTTTTGTTCAATCCTGATACTGAGTGAGTCAGAATGCATCTGATATTTTATAGGCATTCAATAACCATTTAAAAAATTAATGTAGTTATATGCTATATGTATTTAAAAATACATTATGAAATGCATATTTCTATGGTAGATCTCAATAAAAAATTTTTGAAAGCAATGCTGTTATTTTAGCTCATAGAACATAATATAGGGTTTAGACTTTCACTCCTCTTCCAGCCCCAGTTAGATATTATTAACTAGAGAAAGCAAATCCCTTGAGCATTTAAAATGAGCACATGACATATGAGAAAAACAGTCACAGTGAAAGACCACCTACAGAAGAGAATCAAAATGAGTGTGTGTATATGTGTGTGCACATATGTGTGTATTAAATATTGAAAAGGAGAGGATATTAGAAACATTAAACAAGAATTAGAAAGCAGCTTTGAAAACAGAAAATAATCAAAGATATTAAGTATAAAACTACAGTTGTTGAAATAGAGATCATCTAGCTCAAAGCCTCTTATTTAAAGAGGAAATGGAGACTGGAGACTGAGAAAGAAAATAATTGTTTCAAGTTTCTGCATGTATTTTTTTTTTTTGAGGCAAAGTCTCACTCTGTTCACCCCGGCTGGAGTGCAGTGGTGGATATTGGGGTCAAGTGATTCTCATGCCTCAGCTTCTGGAGTAACTGGGATTACAGGTACCCAATACCATGCCCAGCTAGTTTTTGTATTTCTAGTAGAGACGGGGTTTCACCATGTTGGCCAGGCTGGTCTCGAACTCCTGACATCAGGTGATCTACCCACCTCGGCCTCCCAAAGTACTGGGATTACAGGCGTGAGCCACCATGCCCGGCCTGATCTTTTGATTAACTGAAAATGTGAATTTTTATCTAACATATTTTGTTTTGCCTTTTTACCATTTCTAATATATTCTATTTTTACCAATTTTATTTATTGTAAAAAACATTTACATTTCTAAATAATTTTATTTTAGTTGTATTTTAGCTAGCATTATGTCTTGAGAAGTACCTAAAAGTTAAAGAAATAAGAGGTTACTGTATGGTAGGATTTGTAACTAAGAAAACAAGAAAAAATCTGTTAAAAGCCATCTTCACTAGAAAATTATACTATGAAGCAAAGACACCCATGGCTTATATACTTCATCAGAAAGAATAGCAGCTCCTTTATTAGAAAGAATAATACACAAGAGAGCTCTGGCTCTGAAAGATAATGGTGGTTGCTTGAATCTGATTCTTTCCACATATTATTTCCAAAAAAATTATTGACCGATATTCAAAATATTATAAGACTCATAAGTAGTAAAATGCACACACATACATAAAAATTTCATAGTGTCTCCATCCCTAGGAAACAGAGAATGTCACAAAAAATGTTACTGTCTGAAAATAGAGATATAATCACCAACTTTTTTTAGTGCTGCTACACTACTGCAAGCCTCTATGTACAGAGAGCAAAGGTAGATATTCGAGGAAAGGATACTTCATAGATTCCTTGAAAAAGTGGGGAGTATTTTATTAAATCATAAACAAAATTACCCTTATTGCCTTCAGCTAGATGAATGCCAAAATACTGAAACAATATTTTGAAATATTGAAATCTGGGATTGGTAGATCACAGCACCAACTACAGGAAGGTAGCTTGAAAGAAAATGGGTCCAGAAGTAAGAGACATAAAGAAACATTTCCTTGGAGGAGAAGATAAACAATGTGCATTAGATCATTTTTGCATTGCTATAAAGAAATACTAGAGACTGGGTAATTTATAAAGAAAGGAGGTTTAACTGGCTCACAGTTCTGCAGGCTGTACAGAAAGTGTGATACCGGCATCTGCTTCTGGTAAGGGCTTCAGGAAGCTCACAATCATGGTGGAAGGTGAAGCAGAAACATGTACATCACGTGGCAAGAGCAGGAGCAAGAGAGCAAGTAGCAGGGAGGTCCCAGATTTTTAACAACTAGATCTTGCATGAATTAACTGAGTGAGAACTCACATCTAGCCAAGAGGATGACGCTAAACTGTGCATGTGGGCCCGGCTCCCATGATCCAGTCACCTTCCACCAGGCTCCACCTCCAACACTGGGAATCACATTTCAACATGATATTTGGGGGGAATACACATCTAAACCATATTACAAGGGGAAAATCAAATAGATAGATTAAATATTCTACAGAAATGAAGTAGAAACCAGATTCACTCACACCTTACTTTCAACCACTACAGCCAACATAGTTCAATATTATAAAATTTACTAAACTGGGAGAGGTGGACGTTTTGGAACTTAGAACTCTGTGTAGACAGCATGATGGCCCCCAAAGTTATCAACATTCATCATCCTGATTCCTGAAAACTGTGCGTGTTTCTTTACGCAACAAAAGAGAAGGATTCATATGGATTGTTTGAAAATCAACTGAACTTAAAATAAGGAGATTATACTGGATTTTCCAGGTGAGGCCAATGTAGTCCAAAGGGTCCTCTGCAATGGAAAAGTGTAACAGAAGAGCAAGTAAGAGGGATGTGATGTGAGAAAGACTCAACCCACCAGTGATGAACTTAAGATACAGGGAGGGGGCCATAACTAAAGAATGCAGGTGGTTTTAGAAGTTGAAAATGGCAAGGAAACAGATTCTCTCCTAGAGCTGACAGAAGGGGACTTAGCCTGGTGAACACCTTGATTTTAACTCAGTGAGACTTCTGAACTACTAAACTGTAATATTGTAAATTTTTGCTCCTATAATCCACTAAATTGTTGGTAACTTTTAACAGAAGTTTTAGAAAACTAATAGAAACACTTTCTATAAAATACCTAAGGTTAGCAAATTTGTATAAAAAATCCTCTGTATATATCTATGGTAAAAAGAGAAAATGCAAATAAAACTATTTCACTCATTGATTATTGTATGCCCAAAACATAAAGACACACATGCACACACATACTTACACAAGAGCAGAAATTAATATTATTACTTCTATTTGAAATAAATATCCAAAGTTAGCCTTCTAAGATTTTAAAAAGTAGTAAACAAAGCTCCCTAGAATCTGTGAAAGGAAAATAGAAACTCATGACCACAGTTCATTATGCTTGAAAGAAAAAAATTAAGATGAAAGCTGAGTTATGTAAGAAGCTGCTCATGCAAGAAGCTGCCTTTCCTTTTGTTCCTAAGCAGATAACTACAGATAAAAGGTTAAATATCTCCACAGGTAGCTACTCTATGTTCACCTTATCTTAAGTAAAGTGCCAATTTACCGAGCACCAGATGAATACATAATCGACTATTCCCCTACCTGCTCCTTTTCTCTTGCAACATGTAGATTACCATACCATCCTTTTACCTCCAGCTCACTTTTTCCCTTTCAGTGTTGAAGCCCTCAAAATCAATTTTGGAGAAAAGCACAAACCACAAACTCTTTCTGCACTTCTGTGATTTCTTCTTCTGGGCATGTCCTTATTCTCGGTAAATAAACTTCAAAATTGATTGAGACTTGTTTCAGATATTTTTTGGTTTACAAATCAGATATCCAAAATAAAGACTAATAAAAGTGAAAATAAATGTGAAGATATTTGATTTAAAGAAGCAAACAAAAAGAAACAAAAATATCAGAACTAAGCCACAAATTACAAGTTTTTAGGTGAAAATGATAGATGCAAGAGGAAAATAAGGGGAATCTCCTACCTGGAGAATCTCCTACCCACCCACAAGTGTTTAGGCTAGATGCTTTTGTGTAGATGAGAGAACCTGCCCAGGGTATTGTCTATGCATGTTGGCAAGGGACTGGGAACCCACCTGCACACCGTGGGGACGGGGTGGAACCAAAGGAAGTTCCTGTCTTGTGCAGAGGGGAAGAGTCTGGGCTCTTCAGCTCCTGTGTGGTGACGTGGTACTCAATCCGTGAGCTGGGCGTCTTTTGGCAGGACTCCCTCTCACTTTGCTGAGTGTTTTTTCTTTCTTTCTTTCTTTTATCTTTTTCACCCAATAAATTCTGCTCTCCTCACCCTTCAATGTTTCCAGGTGCCTAATTTTTCCCGGTCGTGATGCAAGAACCCAAATTTAGCTGAATTAAGGAGCAAACATTCTGCATTAAAAATAGATTAAAATGAAATCTAATGAAGCAAATGTACAAGACAAATTAAAGAAACAGTGGGAAATGGAAATGAAATCAAGAAATTCAAAGGTTCAGAGGTAAAAGTGATGGAAACAAAAGACAAGCTAAGAAAGTCCATCATCCATATAATTGGAGATTTTAAAGAAGAAGAAGAAAAAAAAACAAACTGAATGAATGTATAAAGCTCTAATGCAACAAATCTTTTAAAAACAATTTTTAAAACTTTAATTAAACCTGTTGAAGTATTCCACCATTTACCCTGGAAAAAATTGGACTTAAAAAAATCAATCCTGAAACATATTTTAGTAAAAGTTATACACTGTAAGACAAAGAAAAAAATTATTGGAAACTCTAAGCAAAAATATTAAGTTACTTTAAAATTATGGAAATTAGGCTGTTATTAGACTTTTCTGTAAGGAAAAGAAAGAGAGATCAGACTGTTACTGTGTCTACGTAGAAAGGAAAGACATAAGAGACTCCACTTTGAAAAAGACCTGTACTTTAAACAATTGCTTTGCTGTGATGTTGTTAATTTGTAGCTTTGCCCCAGCCACTTTGCCACAGCCACTTTGACCCAACCTGGAGCTCACAAAAACATGTGTTGTATGAATGAACATGTAAGGGATCTAGGGCTGTGCAGGACATGCCTTGTTAACAAAATGTTTACAAGCAGTATACTTGGTAAAAGTCATCGCCATTCTCTAGTTTCAATAAACCAGGTGCACAATGCACTGCGGAAAGCCGCAGGGACCTCTGCCCTTGAAAGCAGGGTATTGTCCAAGGTTTCTCCCCATGTAATAGTCTGAAATATGGCCTCGTGGGATGAGAAAGACCTGACCGTCACCCAGCCCAACAACCGTAAAGGATCTGTGCTGAGGTGGATTAGTCAAAGAGGAAAGCCTCTTGCAGTTGAGATAGAGGAAGGCCACCGTCTCCTGCCTGCCCCTGGGAACTCAATGTCTCAGTATAAAACCCGATTGTACATTTGTTCAATTCTGAGATCAGAGAAAAACCGCCCTATGGTGGGAGGCGAGACATGTTTGCAGCATTGCTGCCTTGTTATTCTTTACTCCACTGAGATGTCTGGGTGGAGAGAAACATAAATCTGGCTTACGTGCACGTCCAGTCATAGTACATTCCCTTGAACTTAATTATGACATAGATTCTATTGCTCACTCGTTTGTTGCTGACCTTCTCCTTATTATCACTCTGCCCTCCTACTACATTCCTTTTTGCTGAAATAATGAAGATAATAATCAATAAAAAACTGAGGGAACTCAGAGACTGGTGCCAGTGCAGGTCCTTGGTATGCTGAGCGCCGGTCCCCTGGGCCCACTGTTCTTTCTCTGTACTTCTCTATACTTTGTCTCTGTGTCTTATTTCTTTTCTCAGTCTCTCGTCCCACCCGACTAGAAATACCCACAGGTGTGGAGGGGCAGGCCACCCCTTCCTTTCCAATGGAACATAGAGAATTGAGCAAAGGGGTAATACCATTTCAAGAAACTCAGGAAACAAAGTGCATGCCAAAGATTTGCATTTAGCCACATTGCACTTTAAATACAAAGGCTTCAAAAGAAACATTTTGAAATGGTAAAAATTCAAGTATGGCCCATGAATGTTTTTTGGGGGGACTCTAGTAAAAGATAAGCTTTATCCAAAAAAGAGATAGCTAGGGAAAGTTTAGTAAAATAATAAATTCTAAGATTGGATATATTAAATAACATTAAATTAATTCGATATATTAAAAAACATTAACATAACATAAATTAAGGTGATCATAGAGACCAAACAATTGATTCATATCAATAAATCTGAATGGGCTTAATTTACCTATTTAAAAAGTCACATTGGTTCATAACACAAAACTCAATTCTTTCTTTGAATTAATAAAAAATCATTTTAAAGGTTTGAATATTGAAAGAATAGCAAAACTCAAAGAGTTTTTAGTCATGAAATAGTTTCATTATAGATAAAGGATGCCACATTACTGTAACAACCAAAATCTGAGGTATAAGCTTCTTTGTACTCCAACTTGGAGGCTCATTGTCTTCATGTCTCACACAGCTATTGGATGAATGTGAAACACCTTAGCATTAGAAAGCTGAGTTTTTCATGATGGAACTCTCTTGTACTGAGTTAGGCACATTCGAACTATATGAATAGCCTTGACCATTAAATTCTCCCAAAAAACACACAGGTACAAACCATGAATCAAAGTATTTTTTTCTTAGAAAATGTTTACAGGCTGATATATCCTGCTCTAGAACAACTTTCCAAATATGATTACAAGAATGTTACCTAATTTTAGTTAACAAATTTTATGCATTTGCCACGAATTATTATCTGATCCATCTAGACCAGCGAATATTAACTCCCACTATGAGATTCTGTGTATAAAAGACATACTAAATCAAGGTAATTAAAAGACTAACAACAAAGGGATAAGAAAAAGATAACCATGCAAATGGAAATTGTAAGAAAGCAGCAGTTGCTATCTTGATACCAGCCAAATAAACTTAGTCAAAATATAATATTAAATAAAACAAAGAAGAAATATTTATAATGCTAAAAAGATTTACAAAGAAGATATAACAGTAATACCAAACAACACATTAACTACTTATAAAATGAAGAAAGGACAAGAGATGTAAGGAGAAATAGGAATATACTAATAGTAGGAGACTGTACTATTCCACTTCAATATGACAGTTTGAGTGAAATAAAAATAAGAATGTAGATGATAGGTAATAGATGGATCAATTCTAAGAATAAATAAAATTTCAAAAAATCTTCAAAATTGGTGTCTATTTATAAAGAGTATACAGGAATAAAGAATTATTCTTTCAATTTATTGTATATTTGACTTAGTTCAAAATTAGACGTTACAAAATTTGTTACATACCATCAAAAAGCTATTACTTATCTACTTTTCTAGTTTTCATATAAGTATGTATTACATAGACATGTTATATATATGTAAACTAGAAAAGACAATATAGAGGTCTGTCTATATTCATATGTCTATATGTAAATATATGTATGTTTTACATATATAACATGCCTATGTAATGTATACATATATGTAAACTAGAAAAGTAGATGAGTAACAACTTTTTGATGGTGTGTAATATATTACAAATATTATATTATATATTGTGTAAATATGTATACATATTTCTGAAAATTCTCCTGGTGAGGTCTAAACCAAATTTATTTAAAAATAAAAACAAATTCTATAAATTAAGAATATATGGTACCACAAGCTAAATCTTTTTTTTTCCTCTCTCTTTTTTTTTTTTTTGAGACGGAGTTTGGCTCTTGTTGCCCAAGCTAGAGTGCAATGGCACCATCTTTGCTCACCACAACCTCTGCCTCCTGGGTTCAAGTGATTCTCCTGCCTCAACCTCCCGAGTAGCTGGGATTACAGGAGTGCAGCACCACATCCGGCTAATTTTGTATTTTTAGTAGAGATGAGGTTTCTCCATGTTGGTCAGGCTGGTCTTGAACTCCCAACCTCATGTGATCTGTCTGCCTTGGCATCTGAAAGTGCTGGGATTACAGGCGTAAGCCACCGCGCCCGGTCACAAACTAAATCTTATTATAGAAATAAATAATTTAAAGGCCAAAAGCTGAGAAGTGTGTGAATTATGGTAAATGTGAGAGTAAGAAAAAGTGATATCTGAATCTTCTCTCAGATATTTTTATGCTACACATCAAATCTATATATAACTGCTAAAGAAATATTTGGTTTTATTTCCTTATCCACTCTTGATTTCCCCAAGTTCAGATAGTTACTACGCCACACTTATTTCTCATAGAAGAAAGCTTCCTTGCCTCACATTTGTTTTTCCATCTCTGATACCTTCAGTAGTATATATTAACCAGAGTAGAAGGAGGCATAAGTGTGTGGTTGGCATTCTTGAGTAAAATTATTCTGTTCCCTGTCTGAATCTAAATTTCTCAAACAGACAAGTAAAATTGAATTTTCAAAGTTGCATATTGGTGTAGGAAGTCTAAGTTAAAGAGAAATTATATCCACTTTTCACCCAGCCCATTTGTAAATACTGAGGAATTGAGCAATTCATAACAAGTAAAAGGAAAAGAAAGAAATATATATTGGTCCAACTGACACAAAGTATATTTTTTAAATGGCAACTAAAGAGAAAAAAATACTCCCTGGCCAGATTGCAAGTTAGGCTACTATCAGGTTCATCTTATTTTTCTTCTGTATTTTTGTGATTCTAATCATCCCTCAAAAACCATAACATCCCTGCTACTAAATTCCCATTGTAAATTTTATTTTTATCTTGAATGAAATAAGGCTGAGATTACATTTGTTCCCCGTATCATTCTGAACAAAACATATTGTTCCCCAAATAGGTTTTGGTAGTGTTTAGTGATCTCTTTAACCTCTTTCTATCATTCCTTTCTCCAATCTGCCATTGAAACAAGGTCTGGTCATCCATGACAATCTTCCTAAGCTTCTTATGTCAGGTTTAATATTCATGAGCATTACAGGATTGATTAAAAGTCTAGGCATCTAGGCCTAGACTCTAGAGACAGGTGGCTTGTGTTCAAATCCAGCTGCCATTTTTATGAAGATTGTGATCTTTGGAAAGTTACTTAAACTCTTTATATTTCAGCTTCCTCAGATGTAAATTAAAGATAAATAGTATTGTCATGTTTCTTCTTGTTTCTCATGCCTGGTGCTGGTAGGCTGTTATTTCTCTGTATCTTCTATTGAAACCTATATATATTGATTTTCTTTAAAAGTAAAAACTGAAAATCTCAGAAGATATCAAAGTAAGCTGAGCTCTTACTGCTTTTGTTCAAGGTCATTTCAAATTCTGATGAAAGTAAACTTTTATTTTAATGACCTCACCTGGAAATGGGGACAAAATTTAAGACCTACCTAAAAACATTACAGACAAAAGTGAGTATCCAAAGGACTGTACTATCAGGACTGAACTCAAAACAAGCCTGTTCCTGCCTTGCTCCCTAACTATCAAAAGACTGCAGGAAGGATTCTCTTGACCCTGAAAAGGGCAGACAACGGGGAACCAGGCAATCATATTGAGAAGTAATAGCATGTGGCCACAATCACAGGAGTTTATAACTAACAGTCTCATATCCTAGGTAGTTCAAATATTCTTAAGTCCTGAATTAAGTTCAGAGGTCTCATTTTTTTTTTTTTGACGAAGCTAAATCCATGGAGGAAGTGAATTGAGGAATGCATCTTCTTCCAAAACCCCACATTATTCCTACAAATATATGTATTTCAAAGGCAATAATCACTTCACCATCTAAGATAACTCTCAAAAACTACTATTCTTATGAAGAATCAACAGAAACTACAAAAACACTTTCTCAAAGAGTTTAGATAGTAATATCATTGGTTGATATTATGCAGGTTCTCCTGTCTGCCATGAAAAGAACATAGGATAGTTGCTGGGTATCCACTGATATCAGAATGAGAAGTGAATCCAAACTGCAGGTGAAATAGACCTATAGATTCATGAGAGACAGTAATTATTGTATTTATTATAAATCACTGTGATTTAGGGGCTGTTTTTGGTGCAGCACTACTATAGGCAAAACGTGACAGTCAAGCGCGGTGGCTCATGCCTGTAATCCCAGCACTTTGGGAGGCCAAGGAGGGCAGATCACCTGAGATCAGGAGTTCCAGACCAGCCTGGTCAAAATGGCGAAACCCAGTCTCTAATAAAAATACAATATTAGCCGGGCGTGTTGGTGCAAGCCTGTAGTCTCAGCTACTTGGGAGGCTGAAGCATGAGAATTGCTTCAACCGAGGAGGCAGAGGTTGTAGTAAGCCGAGATTGTGCCACTGCACTCCAGCCTGGGCAGCAGAATGAGACTCCATCTCCAAAAAAACAAAACAAAACAAAAACCAAATAAACAAACAACAACAAAAAACATGACTAGCAAGAAACACTAATAAGTATAGAGGCAAAATCAACAAAATATGAGGTAGGAGAAGAAGTTCAAATACTGTGTAAATAAATTAAATGGGAAGTTGCCTCACTATATTGTCTGGCAAAGAATCAAATTCACCACATTGGCATTATTATATTATTATTTCTGCTATTAATATTCTAGATGCATTCTGATAAGTGGATGCTTACTTTCAGGTAGAGTTAACCGCTTAAATTAAACAAACTGGAAAAATAAAAGCATTTTTGTTGTTGGTGTGTTTTTTTTTCACCATTACATACTCATTTCCACTTCTTCAACCAACAAAATGTTAAATATATCTATATTCATGACTTTCACTTTTACCAATGTAAATCAATCTAAAAATATACTAGAAGTAATTCCCCTGTATTTGAATTGTACTTATCAATGTATGTTTATTGATATTCATTCTGAGTAAAAATTATATCCACATCTATTAGAATTCATAGAAAGTCAGCTGTAACTGCTGTATTATAGGAATATGGACTATACGTGTGGTTCAAATACTACCTCTTTTTAAACTAAAAATTTTATTCTCTGTAACATTGTTGACAGAAATCTTCTCACTATCATTGCTCCCCTGAGAGATCAAGATTATTTTTTTCTTACCAATAATAGAGGTATGGATAAGACAACTAGCCTTAGACAGACTCACTTTTGTTTTCCAGCTCTACACTATGATAGGAATACAACTTTGGGTAATTGTGTTTCTATTCCTGGATTTCCTCATATGTAAAATGGAGATGATAATAGTACTTACCTCAGAGATTCATTGTGACAATAAAATGTGTTACTATATGTAAGACAATGAATAATCCTGAAACATAATAGGCAAATAAATTTTTGTTACTATCAATATCATCATCATCATAATCACCACCACCTATATCTTCTTTTTCATTATTGTAAATTAGACACATTCTTAAGATTCCATGTATACGTTTTCCAGGTTCAAACATTAAAAGTATTGTTTATAAGGGGAATCTTATGCACTTAAATCTACCACTAAAATGATGTCCCTTATGTTTTCATTAATTTGGAGAAGAACCTTTGTGTTTATCTTTATTTTTCTTGCTTTTTCAACAAAATTAAAAGACGTATACTAAGAAACATATCAAGGTACAAAATTAATTGTGTTCAGCATTCTATATTAGTAATTTATAGGAGCATCAATTTTATACATATGGGAGTTAAGGCATTATAAGATAATCTTTAAATAATAATTCTCTTTGTCAATAAAAACACACAAAAATTGTTTCACTTTTTCTTATTTCTGCCTCAAAAATAAAATTTATAAAAGAGTGCATTGAGTGTGTGTTTTTTTCTATCTAGTCATCTACATGCTGTCTGCTCAGACTATCACTTTTAGGAAGATGATGTAAGAAAGTTCAATATAGAGCTGGCATAATTGTGCATAGCTGCTGTCAAGAATTCCTAGGCAGAGACTGTCAACTTAAAAGGTTACTGTGACATTTCTAGAATATGTTTTTTCAAATATGAATGAAACATGTTGCCTTTTTGGTTGAGGGTGGGGAAGGCATGGAACCTGACATTTTTCACACTGCCAAAATTAGAAAACAAAGTATTGCAATGCCAAGATTAATCAATCACTCAACAAATATTTATGTGAAACCTATTTAGGTGCCCAATACACTGCTGGAACCTACTTTTTATCAGGTTTAAGTGTTTAATCAAATGTAACCTAAAAATCAAGGAGCTGCTTTCCTCTAAATTATATAGTCTTGCCAAGAGAATGTAACATTCATACACTGAAACTACTAAAGTACCTATATCCTTCTAGAAGAATATTTTTTATGCTCACATTAATAAAAATGCAGTCAAATTCAAGCTATAATAAAGCTTAACTCTTTGAAGAAACAGAAATATAAAATTTAATTATGTTGTTAAGATGTTAAATAATAATTATTTGCAGTGCTAGTTTTACTCTTGTAAAAGAAGTGTAGGATGATATGCCAGAAGTAGAATCAATGACTAGATTTGGCAGTCTTTTACAAAGATGCATTGATATTAGCAAAACCATTTAGGAAAGTTTCACTTAAACTATATTAGTAGTGAGAATAATGGAAACAAAGGTAAACTGTAAACTATAACACTGAAATGAATTTTACACATTGGAAAAAGCTCATTTAGAATCCTTTTGATTGTAAAAGGAGAGAGGCAGAGATCATGGCAAGAGTCTCAGATATACTTCTAAATATTTCACATCATGTGGGAGGTTTCTTCAGATAAATCTGGGGCTGGAGTTGCTGTGCTGTTCTTCCTGTGGAGTTGTAAATGTCATGTTCCAAATTCAGGAGAATTCCACAGCTGGAATTTTTTTTTAACCAACTGTCTACCAGTTTTCTATTATGTGCTTGTTAATCTTTAATCCTTTCCTATCTAAATCCTCTAATTTAATAAAGAATTGTACATTGTGCTGCTTTATATACCCTTTTAAAATAATCTCATTTTTAATGAGCAAAAAATAAGCTTGAACAAATTATCTTTATTTGCCTTTTCCTTGTTTGTTTTCTGCCCTAATTACATTTATGAAGTATACTTTTTCCTTCTGTTTGATTAGTTAGTTGCCAAATCTGAAAATGAATTAGTGTAAGTAGTTCAGCTTGGAGGTAAGTAGTATATTTGTAGCCTTAAAGAATTAATAAGATTCTCAAGAGAACCATATACAAATTGCAATATGTATAATAAACATTGGAATGAAGTGAAATAAAGTTTTGTTGATATATACTTATGTAACTATTGACAAATATATACATATATCAGATATATGTGGATACACATAGTTTATATGTATTTATAAACTGTATTGTGTATTATAAACTGTATTGTGTATTATAAACTGTATTATATATGTATTGTGTGTGTGAGTATATATGTACATATACACACATACTTTTATTATTATATCTATAGTTTGTATACAGTTTTGCTGATTTAAAATGAGGTGGTAGTTAAAGTCTATATTTTATTTTTTATAGTCATCTTTGTACCTTTGCCTCTAAGCATCTTTGCTCATTGTTTTCAATTCTCTCCACTCATTTTATTGGTCTTGTTGTGGGTTCTTGATTCAAGTTAGTCTCTAAAGTTTATGGCTAGGAACATTTCAAGGTTTTCTTTGCAATTAACAGCATGGCAGTATCAGCAAGGGAAACTTGTTACAAGTAATCAGGAAAATACAAAATTAACCCTTTATACTTAATAATTATGGCCTGAAACAAACAAAGAATATGCAAAGCAAATAAACTCAAAAATTGAACTTGTCAACCAAAAAGTGAATGAGACAGAGCTCAATTCATTAAAGGCTTATTTTGCCAAAGTTGAGGGTACATCTGGATAAAAGAAAGAAAAGTCACAGTAAGAGCTGCAACCTGCGCTTTTTCCAAAAAGAGTTTTGGGAACTTCAATATTTAAAGGGAAAAGAGTAAACAGGAGGGGAAGGAAAAAAAGGAGGATGAGTAGGCAATGAGGCAAGTGCTTATGTTCTTGTGAGGATCTGATTAGCACTCAGTGAATTTGTGCTCAGTGAATCTACATATTACACGGAAAAAAAAGAGAGTGGAGAGAAAAGTGAATTATGCATTCATCTTGTGCTCAGTAAATCTACATTTTTGCATAAGATTAAGTAAGCATGTGAAATTACAGCTATCTGTTTGGGAACAGAAAGGAGGCAGTTTTTGCATGACTCAGTTCCCAAGCTTAACTTTCGTTTTGGCATAGGGAGTTTGGAGTCCAAAGGTTCTATTTTTCTTATACATTTCCCCCATTTTCTTCAAAATCTTTCAGAGAAAGTATTGGTCTGCATGAATTGGATAACTTTTTGCCTCCTTAAAAAACTTGAGGTTCCTGGGCCTGTCAGAAAGTGGCATTCTTAATAGGATGTGACATTCTTTACAGGATCCCTGTAAAAAACCTGCATAGACAAGGTACAAAAACAGTATTTCAAAGGGGATTTTGTCAACCCTGTAATGTTAATCTCAATTCCACAAAGCAGTTGGTTCATACCTAAAGTATGTCATTCCGGTTAAAGCCTTGGTATAATAACTAGTGTCTCCAATTGTGTTCTATTACAAAAGGAAACAGATTCTTATTGAACTTATGCAAATACCTATATTGCTGTAAATTAAGAATACTCACAAATAGTTTCCAAATTCTGGATAAATCAGATAGATAGAAAGAAATATGTTTCAAAATTTACTCACAAGTGTATACTTTACTCAATTGTTACAAGCTATACTTTGCTCAAAAGAAAAAAAACTTTTATTTACTCTCAGAAACAAAACAAAAAGAATCAGCAATGTTTCAAACAAAAATAAAGTCATAAAAATTATTTCATTCCTCTACTAGTTCAGTCTCTTAAAATTAACTCATTCCACTTGACAGTGGTTAGTAATTCTTATGAATATATGAGCTCTTCAGTGAGAGTCCTGGAAGTATTTTCCCTAGTCTAATGGCACAATCTCTAAGATTATCCAACACCTGCACTTAAGAACACCCATCAGAGTCCTTTATAGAAATTTCCTTTGAGAAATCGGTTTTGCATTATAACTGATGATTAACTGCTTTTGAGAAGGATCAAAATAAAATAATAATTGTCTGTGGATGACACAAAAATGTTAAACACCGTTTCATATTTAACAATGCTTTCTGTATGATTTTATTATATCAAATGATCTGAACATGTCTCTTTTGGACTTCAAGTGTCCTAACATCTAAAAAAGTTAATGAGATCAATAAGACTGAATTTAGGACATAAAATTTTGACTTTGGAGTTTTTCAAGTATCAAAGGTTTCAAATTCTTGATATTACAAAATGGGATAACAGGTCTCTATAAAAGTAAGTCATTTGACTAGCCAAAATGATAATTAAAGATTTTAAAAAGAAAATCTTCTACTCTGATAGGGAGGAGACTCATTCCCAAACAATAAGATAAAATAAAGATGGCATAATGCCTACTTAATCTGTTCCTTTTTCTTTCCCCTTTTTTGTAGTTTACTCAAAAGGTAAACAAAAATATGTTATTATCTGTTTATACTACACAAAAATCTTGTTCAAAAGAGAAAATTTTATTTTTACATAGTGTATTCTTAACATTAGAGGCAATTTTAAATAAAATCTTATAAACATATCCACCTAATCTCAGTTTGACCATAAGGTAAGATTTCAATAAACCATAATGTTTTACAATTGTTTTCCACATTCTCTCTTTTCCAACTTTCTGTATCCATTCAGTTTTAGCTATCATTCTTTTTCATTTTTTCAATTTGAGTAAAACCTCAAAACTAGGTAAAATTATTCCCTTTAACAAAAAACGTGTTTCCATGCCTTCCTATTACCTTTTTACCAAAAACACATTCTATTTTCCTTTACATTTTACATATAAAATTGTTTCACTAATATTTAATTGTTTTAATAAGATATATTATTTGTAATGTTAACTCTTAGTAACTCTTATTTTTAGGGAGAGGCCTAGGAACCAAGGGGATTTATTTATTTACTTACTTACTTACTTATTTTGAGACAGAGTCTCAGTCCATTATCCAGGCTAGAGTCCAGTGGTGCAATCTCTGCTCATTGCAACCTCTGCCTCCTGGGTTTCAGCTATTCTTGTGCCTTAGCCTCCCGAGTAGCTGGAATTACAGGTACACACCACCATGGTTGACTCATTTTTGTATTTTAAGTAGAGACAGGGTTTCTTCATGTTGGCCAGGCTGGTCTGGAACTCCTGATCTCAAGTGATCTACCCGTCTCGGCCTCTCAAACTGCTGGGATTACAGGTATGAACCACCATGCCCAGAAGTAAGGGATTTTAAATATGTACCAGATTCAGAGTAAGCCCACGACAAAGGACAATGCATAAAGCTAGGCTTTTTCGTGGCCCCAAAGGCTCAAATCTAAATACATAAATTTGTAGAGAAGTTAAGCAAGGATCAAAAGTATTACAGAAGCCAAGTTTTAAACCTTAAAATATCTAACAGAAACAGTATCTGAACTGCAAATTTTGAAGACTTTTCTATTTTACTTTACAAATAATTTCAAAACTGTCTTTATTTACTAATGATTACTAAAGTCATTTGAGTTAAAGTTTCTATTTTTTGATATGAGATTTGATTTAAGTGCTTACTTTTTCTTTAGGCCAATTAGTTAGAACTTTCAAATATGTTTGTGAAACATCACATACACGTGACACATATAAACACATAGACATACAGACCACACAAACAAAAGCAGTTTTTCTAGATTTATAAGATTCTTCATTTGCAAGTTTTAAATAAGAATTTTTTCATTCGTTCTTCCAATTATCTGCTTTACTGCCCTAGTCAATTGTTAGCCAGGCCACCCTAAATTTGCATGTCTAAAGACACAACACCTATGTGAAACAAGATAGAGAATTTACATCTCATAGTACAGACAGAACTAGAGAATTTAAGCTTTTCAAAAGAATTTTGGGTGTGTTAGAGGAAGATTAATAAATGGATGCCAAGGTAATATAAAATTACTTAAATTTATCATCAGATTTTATAAGAAAGCCAATTTTATTTAGATAGGGACTTTTAATTTAGTTTTGATCTTTTAAATGGAACATTAAACTCAAGGCAGGGCCCACCATGAGTATTGGATTTCGACGAAGGAAGAAACGCCATGGGGACTGGGCCACATAACAGTTTCACAGTGAATTTCGCTACAAGGAAATTCCTCCAAGGCTGGTGGGCAACCAGATGCCAATCAGCCCACTCTGTGATCAGCCCATTCCCTTGTCATTATATACACCAAAGCCAAATTTTTTACGATACAAAGTAATTTCTTGTACCCCCAAAAGCCAAAAAGATAAGGTTACGCAATCCAAAAAAAAGCAGAAGTTTGGATTTGAAAGGACTCTGTTCATTCCAACTCTTGGGATTCCCTGAGTTAAAAAAAAAACAGCAATTTCTCTAAAAAAAGTAATCTGCAGTGCCTTTTCTGTTTTTTCTTAAGGAGGGAGAGGGGGTTGGCGTGGAGGTTAGAAGTCCCAGGCTGTTAAATTTTTTCTTTTTGTCCCCTTATGTTGTACCAAGGGTTGCAAGAGAAAGGACGGGCCTATATAAATAAATAGGGAAACAGAGGGAACTCATGTGGCTGGCAGAGGTTTAAGAGAGAAATTTAGTTGACTGAGAGCTTCACAGAGAGAGCAAATAGAGGTCTTATAACTACATATATATTGATATATAATCTAAATGTCAGTTTTTATTGTCGACTTTTGAGGATAGAGCTCTTAAAAATCCTTTCAAATTTCTTATTACTAGATTTTAGATAGAACAGTTCATATTTCTAATATTTCTGGCTTTTGAACTGCTTTAACAAAAAGTATCCTCCCAAGTACCTTAACCAAGGATATGACTTAACCTTGGACACACAAAGTGTCTCCAAAGAGGTGACAAGCAGTTTTTTTACAAAATCCAGAATCACCCAAAAGATAGCTCAGAGAAGGACAGTGTCACTAGCTATAAATGAGGTATAACCCACACTTCTGTCCGGCCATACTCTCTGGGGTCTTCGTTTCTTGGATGACCTTCCACTCCAAAGGCCCAAAACTCTGTGAACTTCCTGCAGATAGAAGAAGGCAGGAAATCAAAGGCTGTTCAAGGAAGGGGGAAAGATCAACAGTAAATTGGTACCCCAAAAGTCACAGAAATAAACTAAGAGATGCTGGTTCACTGACCAGCAATCAAATCCTTGCCATAGCAGTGAAAGTGCAGAATTGAATTTTAGCTATTGTGCCATAAGGTTAAGTGGCCCTTGTTCCCTGACCAGATAGCAAACCTAAGCCATGGTGGGAGTTTTAACTGTTTAGGTCAGATTTTTTTCTCTCTCTCTTAATTTAGCCAAGAGAATTTTTAAGGCTGGCCATGGCACTATTATATGTCCTTTTGAAATTTGATCTTTTCATTAATTATGTAGAATAATAGATCTCTATAATCTTTCAGTTAGTAGCACACAGAGAGAAAGGCTGGGAAGGCAGATTCGTTATATAAAGAAAAACCCTCAGGTAGTCAATTTTTTAAATCTTTCTTAACTGGCCAGGGTTTTTTAGAGGTGGAACTTAACTTTATACAGCTATGAGGGTTTCACTTGACATTAGAGGGAGCCAGGAGGTGGTTAAATCTAAGGGAAGATAGACTAAAATTTACAAAAGAAAGAAAAAAAAAGGCCCAGTGGGGTGGCTCACACCTGTAATCCCAGCATTTTGGGAGGCTGAGGTGAGTGGATCACCTGAGGTCAGGAGTTCGACACTATCCTGGCCCACATAGTGAAACTCCAACTCTAATAAAAATACACAAAAAATTAGCCGGATGTGGTGGTGCATGCCTGTAGTCCCAGCTACTTGGGAGGCTGAGGCGGGAGAATCGTTTGAACCCAGGAGGCGGAGGTTGCAGCAAGCCAAGATTGAACCACTGCACTCCGGCCTGGGTGACAGAGGGAGATTCTGTCTCAAACAAACAAACAAACAAACAACAAACAAACAAACAAAAACAAAAAACAAAAAAACAGAAAAAAGGCAGTCACACAATTTACATAAAGTCAAGATCTCTGAGCATAAAAAGAAATGATAGCTGACAGAACTTGACCTTTAGCTACCAAACCCCAAAATGAAGCCCCAAACCACTTACCTGGAGATGGAGCCCAAGTGGAAGCCTGCTCTTGGCCATCACAGAAGCAGAAAACTCCCAGAAGAGGAGCTCAGCAGCAGAATAAACCTCAGATCTCAACCAAAAATTATTGGGAGATCAGGGATCTCTGGAGGGAGAAGCTCCCACACTTTAGCAAATCAAGTCATCTGTCAGGACAATAAGAGCTCCAGCTAGTAGCAGGGCCCTGATAGGGAAGCTGCTGTAGACCGAGGTCTAAACTTCACACTCCTTTCAGAGAATGCCTTCATGGCTACCAAAATGTAACCCAACGAAAGAGTGACTGACACAGATCTCAATTGATTAGAGGTTTATCTTGCCAAGGTTGAGGATGTGTCTGGGAAATAGAAACCCAAGTCACAGTAGGACCTGTGACCAGCACTTTTTCCGAAGAAAGTTTTGAGAATTTCAATATTTAAAGGGGAAAGAGTGAGCAGGAGGGAAGCTCAGTGAATTAGCACTCAGTGAGTCTACTTTTTTTTTTTTTTTTTTTTGAGATAGAGTCTTGCTCTGTCACCCAGGCTGGAGTGCAGTGGCACAATCTCGGCTCACTATGACCTCCACTTCCTGGGTTCAAGCGATTCTGCTGCCTCAGCCGCCTGAGTAGCTGGGATTACAGGAGTGCCCCACCATGCCCAGCTAATTTTTGTATTTTTAGTAGACATGGGGTTTCGCCATGTTGTCCAGGCTGGACTCAAATTCCTGACCTCAGGTGATGCCACCCGCCTCAGCCTCCCAAAGTGCTGGGATACAGGTGTGAGCCGACCACCGCACCTGGTGGAGTCTACTTTTTACATGAGAAAATAAAGGAGTAGAAGGAAAAGTCAATTATGCATTCCTCTTGTGCTCAGTAAATCTGTTTTACTTAATATTAAATTTTTATATTACCCAATTTAAGCATGTGGAATTATAGCTATCTGTTTGGGAACAAAAGAAAGTCAGTGATTCAGTTCCCAAGGTTAACTTTGCTTTTGGCATAGGGAGTTTGGGGTCCTAGGATTCTAATTTTCTTTCACAAACATTTTGGAGAGGGAGTTTGAGTTCTTAAATCTCTGGTCATCTGTTCCACTTCATCATTCTCTTTCATAACAATCTTCCTCAAAACCTTGCCTGAGTGACATTCCTCTTATTTGCCCTTTTCATAGTCTTTGAATATGAAGTTCCCCAAAACTGTGACTCAGACTTCATCTACATTAGAACAGAATCTGAAAGAGTAGTCATTCTCTGACACTAATACTTATTTTATGTTAAATCCTACTATCATTATCACTGGCACTTTGCAAAAGTTCCAAATATATTTGCAATGTAACTTCACTTTTTTTCAGATTCTTTTAAGGTTTATTTCTAATTTCTTAGAGTAATTAACCAAAATAATTACTGGCTATCATTTATTCTTAAAATGGTGGGCAAGCACTGTTGTATTTTGGGGAAAAAATCAGTTGTCTTTGTAAGAGTTAAAGAGGAATGAAAAATGAAACGCGGCTGGCAGTTAAAGACAGGTTTTCTTTAGTTAAAACCTGAGAGGCACTCCTGGCTGATTTCGGTCAGTTGCGCTTTCTCTTACAGACTAAGAGAATATATTGGTTTTAGGGTGAGGGGGCTTATCACAAGCTTGGAATGTTTATATGTGTGGAGAAGTTTTTGACAGGATTGGAATCTCTCTGGGAGGAGGGGAGGTTATTTTGGGGCAGGCATCTTTCCGGCCTGGAGTGGGGTTATCTCAGGGCTAGCATGTCTCTGGTTGAGGAGGAGTTTGGAATGTTTTTGGTTGGAGATGTTATTTGTGGTTTATGGTCATGCTGACCTTAGCCATTAGGCTGATGCCCTTTGGTTTTAGGTGGCTTTTTATTAAGGTGAACTTTAGAATCAGGGGCTTGTCCAAGATGGCAGTCCTCCTGCTCTGTCAGTCATAAAATGAACAAACAAATCACTAAGGCACCTCCTATAACTTTAAGTAGTTCACTAACTAAAGGAGGAGGCAGAAATATTGCATACATATAATATGTTTATTGCCTAAAGTTCAGCATAATATGTGATAAATTTAATAGTAAAGTATTTGTTAATTCTTCCAACAAATGTTTTTGAGCTCCTAGACAGATAGACATCATTCTATGTATTTGGTCATCATAGTGACCAAATTTACAATTAATGACATACTGTCATGAATTTTACATTCTGTCTGAGGGAGACAAAAAGTAATCGGTGTAAACAAGTAAGTAGCATTGAGGAGAAAACAAATGCAATGTAAAGGAGGGACTAGGGAAATACTATAGTTTTAAGAGTGGATAGGATAGACCTCAAATCAACACCAGCATTTGATCAATTGATCAAGAACTTGAGCTAGCTAGGGAGACCAGCTACAGGAAGAAGGAATGGTCAGTGTGAACACAGGAAGGCAGGAAAAAACAGTACCAAAAAGAGACCAGAGCGAAGTTAATAAATGGGAAAACAGCAGAAGAGAGGTCAAAGGGGTATGGAGAGGCTTTTGGCCATTATAAGGAGGTAGTTTTCTACTCTGACTAAAATGACAAATGACTAAACAGTTTAAAAGAAGGAAATGACCACATAGACAATTTATTTTGAAAAGATTTTTCTGACCACAATGCTGACAGTTGAGTGTAAATGGGGCAGGATGGAAAGCTATGAGTTAGGAAGCTAATTGTTCCTAATAATTGAGGAAGAAGGTATTGGTGGCGATCAGAAATAGAAACGGTGAGAAGTTGTGGGACAATGTGTGTTTTAAAAAGAAAACTAATCTTTTTGGAGGTGAGATTTGCAAGAAGCAGTATACAGGGCGACTCGAAAGTCACGGGCCTGAGCACTTCACTGGAGGGAAAGCATTGCCAATCAGTGCTGAAGCAGATTGCAGGTGAAGCAAGTTTGGCATGTATTGGTGGGGAAATGTGTGGTACTCTTCTGGATATATCAAGTATAAGGTGTTACTATTAGGTAGTAGTTATCTTTGGAATTTCAGGAGAAATTCAGACTTAAATAATAAATTATCTGGTCACAAGTTTTAAAATGACAATTCAAATCCTCATAGCAATGAGAGAAAAAAACAACTTGAGGGAAAATATTGTTCTATAATAGGATTTCGGAATTGAGCCTCTAGGTGAGAGGGTGCAGTTAAGTATTTGACAATGAGAAATATGCCTTTTTTTTTTTTGCTTTGAAGATTACTAACCTATTTTTTGGTTTTTGCTTTTATTTTTTTTCTTTTCTTTCATTTTTATGAAAATAGATGGGTAAGCAAAATGCAAAATTGTATTGCAGACAAGGAGAGAAGTTTGAAGACTGTCACACTGACAGTGAAAAATATAAAGGGCTCAACTGCAAGGAGAGCATCTTCACGTTAATACCACAGTAGTTTGCAGCTCTATTTATTTGTAAATCTTGTATGCTATGGGGATATTAATACATTGGAGAACTTATTGTAAAGATTAAGGGCAATCTACTTTAAGTGTATGGCAAAAAACTGACACAGTGGTGCTTAATGATTGTAACTGAAAAATTTATTTTAAAACAAGAATGGCAGTAAATTAAAGCATATTTATTTTGGGAGATTCTATAGTAAATGAAAACTGACGTGATAGGTATGGAAGATAAAGAAGGCCTCAAGTCTAGCTTGAACAGCCATAATTGATGGTGAGGCCATTGGAGAATGACAATAGGAAACATTTAGAAAATGTGTTGGGGAGATGTAATGAAATTATTTAGCATTATGAGTGACTATAACGTGCCAGAGACTGAGCACTGAGAATATAATGGAAGGAAAGACTGTCCTTGAATTAAAGGAGCCCACAACATTTTTTATTAAATTCTTACTTTTCATTTTGTATGCCATTTAGTTATTTTGGGGCATATATGTAACATTTCTTATACCATAATTGACTAGAGGCAGAGTCCATAATTCAGTCATTGCTTTTGTATCCTTGTACAAAATAATTATATGTTCTGTATAATTCAGTTCTTGCAAATTTATAAACTTTATCTCCTTTTACTGTTCACCAAAATCTATGAGGCAAATATCAGTCATGATTAGTAATCGACTTCTGAATGAATGTAAGGATCACACCATCCTTCCATTCTTTCATTCATCTATTTGAGCACAAACGACCTATAATGAGTAAGGGATTTTGAAAAGTGACACTATTTTATTGTTAATAGCTATGTTAAGCTGAAATTTTTAATAAAGACATATGAATATGAGTGTGTATATGTGTATTTGTAAATGAAAAAATAAAAGGAATAGTTTCCTTGAATAGTATATGGAGTCTAACAGTCATGTTTTATATGTACATACATGTATATATAACATAGACATAAATTATATATAGACACTTAGGTAGCTATATTGATAAATGAATACAGATAAATAGATATCCTTAATCTTAAAAAACCTGAATGTTAGGGTTTTATAATTTTAGAAGATCCTAGACGTCTAATTGCTCACACTTAATTCATGTCTACTGATAAATATCTGCAATTCTTGAGGTTGTGTAATAGTATCTACTTCATATATGGTGAAATCTCAGCCTGAGTATGTATGTATCATTGCATACATTTTCTTTCGTATTTTGTTGATAGTAGAACCAATGAGAATTGATCAACTTAGTCACCATTTCTAATGATCAAAAGATTTATAAATCAACTCTTATTAGCTTAAGTTATGAAAAAAAGAAGAGCAAAATGGTTTATTTGCTGTTTAGAAAAGTAAACAATAGGGCATAGCATGGTGGCTCACGCCTGTAATCCAAGCATTCTGGGAGGCCGAGGTACGTGGATCACTTGAATCCAGGAGTTTGAGACAAACCTGGGCAACATGGTGAAACCTCATCTCTATAGAATATAAAATAAAATAAAAAATAAAATAAGACAAAATAAAATAAAATAAAATAAAAAATTAGCCAAGGATGATGGTATACACTTGTAGTGCCAGCTATTGAGAGGCTAAGGTGGGAGGGCTGCTTAAGCTTGGGAGGTAGAGGCTGCAGTGAGCAGTGATCAAACCATTGCACTCCAGCATGGGGAAAAGAAAGAGTGAGACCCTGTCTCAAAGAAAAAAAAAAAAAGAAAAGAAAAGAAAAAGAAAAATTAATAATGGTAAAAGTTAGATATTGTGTTAACTATTTTGCAATTTTTTTCATTTAATAGAAAAATCATGCAGTAATATAATGATCTATGATTTATTACATCTCTAGTGTTTAAAACATCCCTTGATTTTATAATAGCTGCTCAAAAATTATTTGACGAATGAAGGTGTAAGTAGATGAATAAAAGAAAAGCCCACATTTGTTCAATGAAATGAATGATACGAAGAGAGGGTTGTCCCAGTCCCCACATAAAAGAGATTTGGGGCATAGAATAATCTATATATTGGGCATTCCTTTCTCTCCTTTGGGAGAGCACAATGGCAGTGAAATTACTGAGAGAGTTTTAGCAGGTAATTATAGGCATACATTTTACATTTCAGGATCACCAATTAATTTTTAACTTATCACCTTCTGTATCAACAAATAAGATAGCTGTTACTGAATAATTTCTGTGCAATATAGGCCTTACAGTGACAAAGAAGCCTGTTACTAAATCTCCCTAAAGAGAATTATTGGAAACCTGGATTGGATGATGTTAAACATTAGTCCTTTAATTTAATAAAAACCAGAATGACACAATAAATGATAGCAAGTTCATGTTACTTTAAAATTACATAAATGAGGAAAATTAAAATTATTCAAATAAGAATTCCAATCATTAACATCAAGTATTAATATAAACAACCAATGCTATAAATTTTAAAACTAGTTTTAATCAAATATATATTTTGAATCATATCTAATGTAAAATTCTTACAATTTGTACTTTTTAAATTTTTCCATTGTTAGCTGATTTTGTTTTTAATGAGTAGTCCTTTTAGGATATTGAGGATGTTCTCTCCTTTTAGTTAAACATATATGATCAAACTTTTTTTGTTCCTTAAACTTTGTCCTTTTGACACCTAGCCTTCGGTAAAAATGAATGGGTTCTTGGAAAAGAGGAAATCTGCCAAATCATGTTATCGTTTAGTCTTGTCATACGACTGTATTTTTAACTAGAATATATATTGTTTTCCTTTTATAATCAGGCTAACATGCAAACAAAAATATCTGTGTTCAGAGTGATGTGGGCCCTTTCAGTCTGGAAGTTGGGAAAATATCATCACTTAATAAGATTGAAATAATTCTACATTAAGGACACGTCAGTATTGCACCTTGATTCAATCCAAAAGCACAGCATTTTCACTAAGTAGAGAGCACACTGATCTTTGGTATTATTTACGATATACTCAGCAGGGAACGTGGCTTCCTAGTCTATGCCCAACAAAATGCTCCTTTTATAAATAAATCCTGTTGTGGAGGTTGAGAAATAAGGAATCAGTTAGTGTCAGCTAACTTTCATGATTCTTAGGAACTCTGGATAATTAGCTGCCAGTGTTTCAATTTTTTTATTTTTATTTTCTTGCCTTCTATGGAATCTTTGACAGGAAAGCAGGCTTTGTTACAAACAAATGTATCATGCGTTTTAAAATCTTGATATAATTGTAAAGCTGTGTCTTAATGGAATATTCTGCATTATTACTGTCATCAGTAGGCATTTTCAAAGTCACCACGGGAGGTAAGTATATTTTCCATTAAAGGATTCTTTTAGTCTGAAATCTGCCTGAACTATTATTCCCTATAAACGTCAATGGCATGAATGCCATAAAAAATGAGAAAATGTTTTATTCTTTCAGGTATGATTTTAGTGAATATAAACAAAATGAAATTACTGCATTGTTGGTGTCTTGAGATATTTAGCATAAGGATGGCCATGTTTTAAGTTTGTTTAAATGGCAAATTTTTATGTGTTTTATAAATGACTATTACTTTGTATATGAAGAGTTTTCCACATATCATAGCATATCAAGACTCGCTGGAAAAATAATTCTTGCCTAAATCATATTAATTTGGTTAGCACTTTCAATACTAATGATAATGACATTGTGTTCTTACCTGTATGTAAGGTAATTTTGTATCAAGATATTTAGTTCAGGGAGAAAGTCTTCCATCCTAGGGAAAAAAAGAAGCTACAGACAAAGTAGTTGTAAAAACTGGTTTATTTTTTTAAAAATAAATACAAAAATATAAATATAAAACATTAGCAGATAGAATTTGATGAAATGAAATTGCACAAATGTCTGTATACCAGGTTGCATATCACACCTACTAACATCACATGTACATTTTTGTTTTTTTAATTTAATGTACAGAACAGGATATACTGTAAAATTTTTCTTCACCTTTTTAAAAGCTTCATTTGCAAGGGCAGGACATGTACCTAACAGAAGCGGCTTGTTTGTGAGGTTGCTTAAGGGAGAACTATCCTGTTCATGTTTCTGAAATTATCTTTTATTTACTAAGATGGACAACACTGTATTTCCATAGCTTTGGCTCTTGGAAGTGATTAAATAAAATGTCATATATATTCCATGAGACATCCTACAGGAAAGAATTAATGTAATTAATGAACAAATTAAGAAGTAAATGAGAAAAAAAATTGTGCTGACTGGCAGGAAAATGCTCCTGAATATCAAATATTGTGAAGTGGAGACAGCATGGGTAGAGTTACTTTCTCTTGTTTGAACAGAACATATATCCTACGTTAAGAGTCTTTGTCACTTTCCCCACCACCATACATTTCTGCTAGCTTATTAAACCGAGGGCCCCATTCTCGGAGGTAATCGTAGTTTTGGTCTCCTTCAGTAGTACCTGATTCTAATGAACTCAGAGATTCAGCAATGGAATCATTTCCTTCATAGGCATAGGTTGCAAGTGAGTCGTAGGGGGGTGCGGTGGGGTCAAGATCATGCTCTTTTAGCCTTTCATTAATGAAATCCCGGACGTCCGTGTTATCTGGAGCTGTAGGAGTCCTCCGAGGAATAAATAACGTTTCTGGAATAATATCTCGCCGGAGCTTTTTTTCCTCAATGGCTGCAGGATTCCTCAGGGTGCCGATATCAAAGGCCTGGGTGTCCTCCTCTCCACCACCCTCATCGTTATAGCTCACAATGTTGTCTCTGATATCTTCTTTTGACAAGATCAGAGGCTCTTTTTTTCGCTGTCTTTTCAGAGCTGCAAACAGTACTACTATAACTTGAAAAAAGACAAGAAGATACATTAGACGTCCGTTCAAAACACTATAAATAACGAGTGGAAATACTATAAAAGAGTTTAAGTTACTCAGGCTTTCTATAACAGCTTAGACTTTCAGATTAATTTTGTGCTTCCCACAGTTTGGGGGAGGTGTCAGGGGAGACGCTGAAGGGTTTAGCAAGGGTGGGTGGTGTTTAAGATCAGTGTTTCTAATTTATTTTTAAAACAACGTAAAATATTCCTTAAATATAGTGACTTACACTTTATTTTCCTAGGAACCATTTAGTTCCTCATTGTACAGATAATATTTATCTTCTGCATTAAATAAGGAACATAAGATACTATATAAAATTTGTGTGTATAAATCTACACAAATTGAATTCAGCTTCAAGTAAGACAATTTAAAAGGACAACACGATGCTTACTTTTTTCAAAGCATTTACACAATAGCAAAAAGCAACATCATTCACAACATACTGAGTACTGACTTCTGTTAAATAGCTTTGCTGATGAACTTACATATTTTTGTTACTTTACTAAAAGAATGCTGTAATTATTGGAAAAAAAACAGATTAGTTAGAGTTAGATGAATTTAGAAATTCCTAATGTTTCCATGAAAATATATACCTTGCATGAGACCCCCCCCCCAAAAAAAATTGTTAGGTTATAAGATGGCAAAGAGTAAATTTCTCAAATTGCAATACTGAACTAACTCCCCCCAAAAATGTATGAATCTTGGCTAGATTCATAATAGAAAAGTGCACTGCTCAAAAAGAACATTTTCCCACTTCAATGAGAGACAATATTCATAATCAAAACAGTGGTAATAGCATAAATGATAAGAGAAAGTTAATATCAAATTCTTCTGATTGCATTAGAGTTTCTCACCCTTACTCATTATTCCCAAACATTTTGATCCTCAACCTTTAAAAGGATTTGAGGGAAAAAGTGTGAACTCAATTAGATAAGATAAGGATGGGAAGACTCTTACTGGATATATATATATGAAGAAATATTGATACAAGTATTTATTTAGCTTCTTAGAACACACAGAACACACATTTAAAGAGTATGTAATTAATTACATTATTATATGAAGGGATATTAAGTTATGTTTTCTTTTTTATTAACATGGAATGCACAGACTAGTTTGTCTTCAACCTGTGAGAGAAGGCAAACAATAAACTTTTTTAATGTCATGAAAAAGAAAGTTTTAGCTATTGATAAGTGTTCTTGCCCAAGCAATTAAAAAGCAAATAGGCAGAACTTTTTAAAAAGTGTATTCTTCAAGCTTTTAAGAAAATATGCCATTTTATTTTGCCTAAATTCATATATTTATGCACATGAAAATGTGTAAAGATTTTAAATCTCAGATTATTTATCATCAACCAAATGACCTTGCCCAGCAAAAACTTTCTAATGTTGAGGATAATGACAACTTATTACAATTCGCTCCAAGTCCAAGTTCATTTCCCTCTTTTTTGAATGTTTTTTGATTAGGGTAACAGAAATACTCACAAAAAATAGGTTTAAACTAACAAAACTAGAGAGAATGCTTAATCTGATTTTAATTCAAAAGCAGTTAAAAGCAGTCTGCTCATGACTATAAAATGAATTATCATTGTTTGGGGGGAAAGTAAACCAGGTAAAAATCTATTTTAATACGATTTTAGTGAATATGTAAGATAGTGAGGCCTCCATCCAGCCATAATAAAAGTGGAAATACAGATTCCACTGGGAATCTCTGTATACACTGACTAATAGCAAGGTACCTTAGCTCAACCACTCAGAAATTGTGTGACCTTGGAATATGTTCTGAATATTTTGAATTTTCCGTTTCATTATGCATAAAATGAAAATAATAACACCATACATGCCAGACATTTTTTTGTCAAGTGAAAAAGGTTGTCATGGCAAAGTGCCAATGAGAGTCTGAAACACAGTAAACACGTACTAAAAACTTACTACCATTAATATTATTCTTACTAGAGACTTTCATTTTAATTACATATTTTAATAGAACAAGTTTTCTATATGATTTAAAGTATAAATCCCCCAAATAAATATTTATATTATTCATATTTGCAATTGTGGATTCAACTATTGTAAAGCACATTTATTAACTTTTCCTCAATGTTTGTTGTACTAATGGTAAGTCAAATTATAAAAATAAAATTATACCAAATTCTCATTCTATGAAATAAAATGAGGTATGCATTTTTTGTAGTACAGAGAAAAGTTTTGTTCTGGATTTCATTTCATAGTAACAAATTATAAAATATATTTTTTAATACGCACGTTCTCATTTCCTGAACTACATAAAAATCTAATCTTGAATTATTCAATTCATTCATTTAATGATTTATCTACCATAAGTAATTTACCTTTCTGTTATTTAAACACACAGTGAAAGTGCATAAATGCTATGATAAAAGTAGAAAAGTGGAAACATCTATAGAATGAAGTAGACATAATTAAGTCAAATAAAGAACGTGGAAATATTTTTAATCCATTTTTGTTGTTGTTGCAGGCCTTAACTTCATATAAAAACATGCTCTTTTTATAATCATAAAAATATTGCTACAATTTATTATTGTCTGCATTATTTTAAAATTTAAGACTAATGTTAAAGTTGTATTTAACTTTATTTTGTATATATGAAAAGTTAGCAATTATTGAATACAGGAATGCCGATGGGAAGTGCTCATATGTCAAGTTTTTGAATTGTTATTCTAACAAATGTTATCAACTTAACCTTTGTCTTTGTTGCTTTTAGTCTTATTGAGATTGATTAATGTCCACCTTACAGAGTTGGGGTTTGAGACCCTACTATTATCTTCCATCTCTTCCAACCCCTACTTGATTCCCGTATGGAGGATGTTTCAGAAGAACCATTGCCCCAGACTCTGTTACTACACCACTCAAGAGGAAAATAATGGGCCAGCAATAAAATAACTGGGGTCCTGGCCACTGATGCGTCTCCTTTCATTTGTTCACTGGACCTAGGTTCCGAAGATCTCTTAATTCCATTAGAACATTCAGCATGGCTACCAAGAATTTTGTGTCTCAAATTTCCAAGCTCCTACACATGCCATTCTGCATTCATTGTTCTTGCTTTTTCCTTTGTTTACTGCATTGTGGTGAAAGACAGTTGTTGTTTTTTCTAAATATTTTGATTCACACTGGAATGAATTCTAGGCCCCATTAGGTAAAGTTCCACTATTACTACAACAAAAATTCTTTATATATTCGTATATATTCCGATCAAATAAAGTATTTTAATATAAAGAATATCACAAAGTTAATTTATGTCTATCTTAAAATTTGGGGTGGTTTTGGGGGAGGGATTTTAATAGCCACAATTCTTCAAAATCATACTAAAGAGCCTAGAAAATGCTCCCATTGTTTTTAAGGTTTCTTACCCAGTAGAATGATGATGCAGAGGAGGATGGCGATCAAGGCCCCAGTGCTGAGGCCGGCAGGGAGGAGCAGGGCTTCAGCACTGCAGGATTGCATGTTGCCTTGGCTGTCACAAGCACACACTCGAATGGTCAGTGTGCCTGTGCTGCTCTGAATTGGGTAATCATTGTCTGATATCACCACAGGCAAGAGATAGGTACTGATTTCATGTCTATTGAATCCATTTTTTCTGGTTAAGATTCTGGCAGTATTATCTAAAACAAATTTTAAAATATTACAAATGGTTTGGGATAGTAAATTTTTCCCAATGTGATCACCAAGGTTTAACATATAAATAAAAACATATTTATGTAAAATATAAAATTGATATACATTTTCCTAAAAAACAAGTACAATGCAATTAATATATAGATAAGACAAATAATCAGTTTGAGAAATATACTATAAATTGTTCATTTATTAGGTTTTCATGTAATTCCTCAGTACTGTTTTCAAAGTGGTACATTTTTATAAGTGAATCATTTACCAAGATTACAGATGATAACAACTGGCTTTTCTCTTTTCAAAAAACCTATTTTGCATACCAAGAGAAAAACCATACTAAATGTGTGTTTTTTAATTTATGTGCATCTGTGCGTGTGTGCTTACACACATACAGAACACACATCAATCCAATACTCATGAAGAAAATGGATTAGGTAAATTTCACGCATTGTTGCATGTTTTAAATCAATAACAAAGTAGAAGAAGGTTTTTTAACCTTCAAGAGGCATGCATCTTGCCATTGCAACAGTACCTTTGTAACAATGCCTTCGTACTGAATCACCTCACAGGCTACTTCTCATTCTTTTCATTTCCTTATGTATATTTGGCTTTGGTGAATCTGCTGCTGCTAAATCTCACTGAAGTCTGCTTAAGAGTCTCACTGAATCATTCATTTTTCTACCCTATGTGTCCTATATTATTGTTGTAAGAATTATCTCCAGCCGTTCTAATCTTATCAAGACACAATCATTTTTTAACATCCATAAAGAGACCTCTTTCAGATATTTTATTATTTTAAAATTGAAGACAGTACACATTGCCAAAGATGGCTTTACTAAATATATCAAATACTTGATTAAAACAAAATTGTATAACTCAGATCAATAAATTGATATGGCATATATATTGCAATGGTTACACTCGGGAAATTTCCTGTTAATATCATCATAAGTCATAGTGAACAAGTTCTAAAATTTACCTTCATTATCCTGTACTGTGAAGTTTGGATTGACAGCAGCTAAACTGAAAAAAAATTTCTGTCCACCTAAAGGGTCATCTTTGTCTACTGCACTTATAGTCTGTATTAGCTGCAGAAAAAGAAAAATATATCTCATCAATATATCTCTTATCCATGGGTATAATCTGCACTTAAGATCTTCATTTTGTCTGAAGTTGTTCAAAATAATTGACTTTTATTTCATGTGAATGTATCCTTGAGTTAATCCATCTTTTTAGTATTACTTTGATTTTAATAATCTCTCCCTCTCTCATCTCTGTGTCTTTTGGATCATACCCTTTACTTCAAAATGGTAAATAAAAAATATATTATTTAGGGTTTTATTAATTTAGATATAGCACTTAAAATGAGATTATTTTATATGCATTTACACATTGATCTGGAAGAGTTTTTCGAATGTCAGAAAAATTTAGGAAATTATTGTGACTATGCTTTGTTTTTCCCCAAAAATAAAATGAAAAATGGTCGAGGAATGTAGAGATTTTATAGGTAATGTTATATATTACTTTTTAACAGAGTCTTAAACATTATTAGAAACCTTGAGAGTAAAAGTTCAATTAACTTACACTTTCAATAAAATTGTATTTTAAAAATTCAGCATATATAATATGTGTGAATTATTTTAAAAGGGTAAACTCTGATTGATTTTACGGTAGGAGAAAACATAAGACGCTATATGGTAGCAAAGTAGACAATTTAGCCCCTAATATATAATCAGATCACTGCTTTGGACATATGATATGATTAACTAATATACAAATATGTATGTATGATGTATATATATGTAATAGGTAGGTTTTTTTGCACCTATCTTCCTTTTGTTCTTTAACTTATATTTATAATACAATTTGTATATTTTTTACATATTTTAATTTTGAAGATGGCCTCAAAAGTTGTTAAATATGTACACTGATGCCTACATAGTCAAATTTATGTTTAACTAAAAGCAATACACTTTTTACTGCGTTAACTCAATGTTGTGTGGATGCTGGATGAAAATATTTGTTGTTGATGTCTTGTTGGTTAAACAAGTGATTTCAAGTTAAAAACATTATGTCAAAAATCACAAGAAATAAAGAAATTATTACAACTATCTGTATTAGATTACTTTTCTTTTAAAATGTCTTAGAGCAATGAAAATGTGATATATTTGTGGTAGCAATCTATTTAATTACAACCCTAACCATTTATTTCAAAAGGATACAAGAAATATAATTGGACCAAAGATTTATATTTATTGCCTAGAAATAAGCAGCAAGAAAAACATCATTTAAAACTTTGAATTATTTCAAAAGTACATTTTAAAAACATAGCAACATAATTATTTGACTAAATTTTAATTGTAACTTAAAATTAAATGTAAGCAAGAATTATAAAAAAGCAAGAATATAAATCTATTAAAATTAATAAAGTCAAAATATTGTTAACTAATACTACTTAAGATGTGTCAATTCAGTGAAAAAACATTTCTTGACTGATTTCTTGTCTGTCAAATGTACTCTTAAGGATGTCATTTTCAAATAATGATTTATAAGTATATATTGAAGAGGAAAAAATGACATAAATGGAATAACATCAAAAAAGACAGTAGACTACTAGAAATCCTTAGTCATTAAGATTAATATTTTAACATTCACATACAGACACAAAAAGTGACCGAAATGTAAAAATAGGGCTAATGGCCTTTGAAAATGGAAACTCAAATGTTTCAAAATAAATATACATTTCCAACTGTATATTTTCCCTTAAAATAAATTTACAAAGTATAATTTCAATTTATTTTTACAGATCAAAATAATGCAGTTCAGAAAACAAATAGTGACATCTTTACATATATCTATAATAAATTTTAAAAATTAACATTAAAATCTTTAATTAAAATGTATTTTAATCAAATATTATAGCACTATTGATTTAAAGATCAGTAGTTAATTTATACATTTTGAATATCATAAAAGGGGTAAGCCAAACTCATAGAGATGACACAAACAAAATAGAATGATGTGTTGCAGAATCTATATTACATTACAGTATATTTTTATGACCTTAAGACTTCGCTACTGCAGATGGAGGCACTTACATCCTTTACAAGATAATAGGTTTTTTTTTCCTTTAAGACATTACTTCTAGTGTTCAATTTCTTCATATCCTGAATTTACCTCTCAATCTAGTCTTCCTTTCCATTTTCAACCATATATTAAAAATCACAGTGCTTTTGTTTTGGTAAATGTGCCGTAAAGACTGGTAACAGATATCAGAACTTGGCAACAAGGAGGTAAAATTATTTTCCCTGGCTCTTTCTATAAGCATCCACTGTTTTGTTTTTGTTCTGGAGACAAACTCATTTTGGTCCATTTCCAATAAAAAAGTTTGCCATAATTAGGAAACAAACAAACAAAAACTAGTGATTTCCAGTATTCATTTTGAGCATTTGAAGAAAAGTGCACAGAGAAGTCATTTACATTTTATCTCCTTAGCAACAATATAATTGATTTCTGTCTTCACTGGGCTGTTCTAAAATAATCTTAAATCAACTTGAGGAATGTTTCAGTGTTCATATTATTACAGTGTCTGGAACCGTGAATGGGTTTTAAGATATTTAAAGTTAGAAAACTGGTTAAGTTTTCATATGTTTTAGCTTTTTCTATGGGAAGCCTTGGAGTTTCCGTTAATGAGAACATTTCCTTTGTGCTAGTAAAATGCACCCTTTTGGCCAGGCGCCGTGGCTCACGCCTGTAATCTCAGCATTTTGGGAGGTCAAGGTGGGCGGATCACAAGGTCAGGAAATCGAGACCATCCTGGCCAACATGGTGAAACCCTGCCTCTACTAAAATACAAAAAATCAGGCGGGCGTGGTGGTGCGCACCTGCAGTCCCAGCTACTTGGGAGGCTGAGGCAGGAGAATCACTTGAACCGAACCCAGGAGGCGGAGGTTGCAGTGAGCCGAGATCACGCCACTCACTGCACTCCAGCCTGGCAACAGGGAGCATCTTCCTCAAACAAAAAAAAAAAAAGAAAGAAAGAAAAAGAAAAAAAAAGCACCCTTGAACCCTTTTCAGTTGTTAGGGAAGTAATAAGCATAGAATTGATTTCTATTTTCACTGGGCTATTCTGAAATAATCTTAAGGAATGCTTCAGTGATCATATTATTATGGTGTCTGGAACAATGAATGGGTTTTAAGATATTTAAAGTGACAAAACTGGTTAAGTTTTCATATGTTTTAGCTTTTTCTATGGAAAATATGTAATGGGATATTTTTGGTTTCTTAAAGGCTTAGTTGTCATTTGGTTTCATATTTGTTGTTAGTTGACATGTGGTTTGATAAGTCATTTAGATACTATTGAAGGGAAATATAAGCAGCATATACAGATTTCCTTGGGAAATCTGTGGTATTAAATTCTTTCCATGAAGATTAAAATCATTAAAATGTATTTTATTTACTTAAAATATATTTTATTGACTCCAGGAGTAGGCATGAATGAGACAAGATAGAATGAAAAACAAAAACAGCTAGCCCTCTGTCCTGTCTTTTGCTGAGGTCCTCTGACTCTCTCTGAGATGGAAAAGGTGAAGGGTCAAGCAGCCTAGTTCAGGCACACGAGGGGACTACTAATATTACATCAGTTAAAAGTTGCAACATTTCCAAGGAGAAATTCTACACTTAGATCAGAAAATAGGCAAGAGCAGGGAATGGTCATTAGTTTTATTTGTCACCTCATTTTGTCCACAACCAAATGAATGGATAATTGTCCATGTCGGTGTTCTAAGTGCTACTCTTAAAGAGCAGTTAATTCAGAGGAGTGTTGGGTGGACTGAGATATACCTTAAGTAACTAAAGCACACCTAGGAACCCTGACATTCTTCTGCTTTCCTAGGAGAAGGAGAGTCAGAGCTAACAAATTAATTTTAAAAAGGCTCTGAACAAGAATTTTATCAAATTACCACTTTGATTTTGCCTGCTAGGATGTCATAACCTAGAATCTCATCCCTTAATATATAACAGTTTAGTTTAACCGAGGCATTTTTCAGCCTATGAGACCGAAGTGACATCTAACAAACTGGTCTTATTAGAATTTGCCTGTATGGGAGGCTATTGCACAGGCAGCCAATTCAACAAAAAATATTAATCATCCTCTTCCTATCAGGTGGGTCAAGATAGGCTAATTCCCTTTTTATTGAAATCATCTTTTGATTATTTTCCTTCAATACACCAGCTGTTTTTTAAATGTCCAAAAGGTATGGAGACGTTGTGAGCCAGTTATAGTGAAAAAGAAAATAGACAGAAGGAAAATAAACAAACATACTTTCTATTTTGTATATTTTGAATACATTTGTAAATCAGTATTTATAATGACTTGAGTGCTCTGAAAAGATATCTTTTGAAAATCAAATAGAATAACCATAGAGGGAGCGATGTATGCAGCAGTAGCAAAGTGGGTAATTTATCTCTTAGAGAAAAGACTTCAGCTTATATCATGCTGAGCCTGCCAAGCAGAGGACGATTTGGAATGGTATTTTTGGGGCGTGCACTGTTTCATTAAGTAGTAAGTGGGAAGCAACTAAGTCATTTAAATATTCCAAATTAAACATTTCCATAACATTTTCAAGTTAAAAAAAATGAATCAAATTGCAGCAATTTTACCATATTCAAACAACAGACAGGCTATTGAATTCTTGTTAGAATCTTCAAAAGGAAGAATTTGAATTATTCCACAATATAATTTGCATAAAAATGTAACAATGACATTGATGTTTATAAAGAGTATCAAATAATGTCAAAACATAATACAGTTTCGTGATGGTTCCTTTTTTTAAATAAACACATTTGATTCCCAATTATTATTTATACCACGCAGCTTCCTTCTGTGAAGATAGCACTCAAACCAATTAAGAGCATTCTCTTTCATTCACATACACTGGAGCTTTTCAATCAACAAAATGAGTCCACTGAGGAAAAGACTTACAGAATTATAAACAAAGCTGATGCAGAAAAAATGTTTTAAAGTACTAAAACCAAGTCATTAAGCACTTCATATGCTGCTGTAATGATGAAATGCAATATGTAAGTCTAAGGAGGAAATTCTGCTGCCCTGATGCAAAACCGTATCTGCACACATCAGAAAAGTGATTAAATATTCTGCTGCTCCCATACATTTGTCTCTTGTTTTCCACAGCATTCGTCTCTCATCTCTCTAGCAGGTACCAGTATTTATTTAATGACACAGCAGGCGGTCTTAGGGGTTTGCTTGTCTTTGTTTTTGAAAATTTTGAAAGTAGTTATTTTTTCTTATGCTTCAACTTTTGTGGCAACAATAAAATTTTATTCACACATTAGAACTTTACAAAGGAAATATGAAACTGGTATATGGTTTTAAAAATATTTTCACCTTTAAAAACATCAGTTATGGTTTTTAAAAATTATATTGGGACTCTATATGAGTATTTCCATCTCTGTGTATTCTTTCCTCTCAGGATTTTGAAAAGAAAATATTTTGCATACAGTTAAAATCTTTCCAGAGTTTTAATCCTGTAGGGGCTTACCTGCCCTGGTCTGGCATTTTCACATACAAAAGTGTCATAGAACACAGCAAACTGTGGGGCATTGTCATTAACATCCAAAATTCTCACAAAAACAGCCACGCGTGTTGTCTCTTTGGGATTGTCTGGAAAAGGGGAAGAAAAATATTGTTTAGGAAGATAAATTGGTGCATCAAATTTAATTTATATAGGCATCTTGTGGGTATGAAGTGCTCACATACAAATAAGCATTGCAATCATTCTACTAATATAATGAGCAAATGCAATAAAGAAAATTACTGCAGAGCCTAATTAAGTAGTCATGAATTCAGTTATTATTGGGCACAAGGGTACTATTATTATTTTGGAAAATCATGTTAAAAGTACAAGCCAGTATAATTGAGTTCACACTATATTTGCGTCCTTATTGTCCAAATATATAAAATAAGAACACTTACTTATTAAATCCTTGTTATACTTCATTATAATTATATCATTTAATTTTTAACCTTTTTTGGATGAAGAAATAGTTTTTTTTGTTTGTTTTTGTTTTGTTTTGTTTTTTTGAGCAGCAGCAAGATTTATTGCGAAGAGCAAAAGAACAAAGCTTCCACAGCGTGGAAGGGGACCTGAGCGGGTTGCCCGAAGAAATAGTTTTAAATAAATTGGTAACTTATCTAAGGTCCTTCGCTCGTAAGTGGTAACTGTTATAAAACCTATGTCTGTGACTACTTTTATCACCAAAATGTATTTCAACAACTGCTGTCAAATTTCTGTTTGAAAATTTTATTATATGGCTACTTATCTTACAAACTAGTTGGGAAATTTATGATGAAATATGAAGATTCACATATTTTATTAATATAGTTATTGCTGGTACCATCTCAACATTCTAGCTCAATTTTGCATTACAATCTATTGTCACAAATTAGCTCAGTAGTAAGAAATAGCATACTAATCATACCTTTTGCTATAAATGCTGAAATCAACAGCATCAAAGTTCTCACATAAAGAGATGCATTTCTGGCTGGCTCATGCACGATGGCTCGTGGCTGTAATCCCAGCATTTTGGGAGACTAAGGCAGGTGCATCACTTGAGGTCAGGAGTTCGAGACCAGCCTGGCCAACATGGTGAAACCCTATCTCTATTAAAAAATACAAAAAATAGCCAGGTGTTGTGGCAAGAGCCTGTAATCCCAGCTACTTGGGAGGCTGAGGCAGGAGAATCACTTGAACCCAGGAGGCGGAAGTTGCAGTGAGCTGAGATCGTGCCACTGCATTCCAGCATGGGTGACAGAATGAGATTCCATCTCAGAAAAAAAAAAAATGATGCATTTTCAAACTTGTTTTGATATGTAAATTAATAAAAATATAAATACCACTTTATTTAGCTTAGCTTTGAGTAACAACCCTGTATTGGTTATAATTGCATTTTTCCTATTATAGATTTTTCTAGGCACTTATGCTGGCTGAGAGTATGTTTACATTTTAAATTCAGTTTACATTCATCAGATTTTATGATATCAATATCTCAGTCTTTGGATACAGTTAAACTTCTGTGTACATTTTGGAAAAGTAAAGCTGAAGAGCAATATAATGCAATAAAGACTATAATTAGCTGAAAACAAAACAAAACAATAGCAGAATAGCTAGGGGACAGCAGCAACCTTATTAAATGGTCTCAACCAACATGGGCTGTGGATATCATTTTGCCTTGTAAAATTTATCTGACGTCTTAAGGTAATCTAAATAATTTTCAGATACAAAGGTAAAATATATTGTCACATACAAATAGGAAGTATATTACTACTAAAAATAATTTATATCCCCTTGTTCTCTCCATATAATTGAATGTTACTCCAATATTAAAATCAGCACTTTAAAAAATGATATATAAGAACAGACTGCTTAGCAGGGATATATTTACAAGGCTGAGCGAGAATAAAGAAAGGCAGACAGAATCGAAGTGTATTTATCACTTTTTGCAAGAGAAAATTTAAAATGCATCCTTTCTTCACCAATCCTTTTAAGTCTTACTGCAGTCTTCTGAACCCACATGGATTCAGTCGTCAGGTTCTAACTTCTTATTTGCTAATATGTTGTTGCATATTATCCACTTGTTCGTGTACCACGAGGTTTAGCGTTCAGGCCCTGGGGTCTAACATAGCTGCTGCTTTGATTCCCAAGTTCACCACTCATTTGTTATGTTACTTTGGCCAATTTACTCCACATATTCAATGTCTTGGTTTACTCAATATAAATCAAAGTAGAACCTCTAATCTCACAGTTACTTGTAAAATTAGGAGTTAATGCGTGAAAATTTCTTATGAAAGTATCAGTTTAATGATCAGGACTCAATATGCGTTGACTATAATCATTACCATCATCTTTATTATCATTATTATATCTTCTTCACTTTCTTATGTTACTTAAAAACTTATGCTTTCTCCACATAAAGTATTCACCTAATAAAAATACATTAATTAGCCTTTCTACCATTCAAGTGAGTCTGAAGAGGTATGCATTTGAGAAGAAGTGGAGAGAGGAGGGAAAATAAAAAGGAGAAAAATGCTATCTCATTATTTTCCACTTCCTCTATGCCAGACCATTTGCTAATACCCAGAGCCATGGGGTTCTCTACAAATGGACCTTTTGCTATCTACTTGTTGCTATGGAGAAAAGTGGGAAGGTATGCTTCTTCCATATTTTCTGGAATGTGCTCTTTAACCTAATTATATAGTGAGTGGACATAAGCAAAATATTTCCTTTCAATATAAAGTCTTGACATAAAAATATCCCTTGTTGGTAACAATTCACTTTCTAATGATGCCACAGAGACAGGAGAGACAAAACTTTCATAACTAAAAAATTCCGTCGTCAGCCCCTTCCCTAACACAATATAGAGATTCTCCAGGGTCTTTACAAATAATTCAAGGCTCTTAAAATCAAAAGCTAAATCCACAGGGATGAATGTGCTTTGTAAAGCATCGAGCCTGGAGCTACCTATTCAAAAAACAGTGCTTACACTAATTTTTTGGCTGGCAGATGCTGTCGCTTATGTATAAATAAGAGTATAAAGTGTTCCAAGGAAGAATCAAACTGAATAGCAGCTGGCATATATTTACCACCTGAGTTTCTCTCAAAGTTCTTCAGGGAAACACTACTATAGCAAGAAGGTATCAGCAATAAAGGATCTTAAAATGTATGTCCTAAGGTGAAGCCATGACGATGCATCCATGGGCCTTTTCATGCCTCCAAAGAGAGAAATTTTAAATCATTATCTAGAAATCACAGACATTAGAAAAATATAACTGTTTTACCTGCTTTGGGTAAGAATTCTATGAATAAGAACTACGGTGTGGATAATAGAGTTCTTTAGTCATAAACTTAGTTCTATTGTCCACAGAATGTATTGCAATGATTAAAGTCAAATTTTCAGAGGTAGTGAGAGGAGCTCTTTGGTGTCTATAACAAATATGCCCTAAAATCCCAAGTTTATTATTAAGTCATTGATTGTGACCTTAATTTTAGATGTTTTATTCTCCACATGGCCTTTTTTTTTTTAGAGGGAATCTCACTCTGTCGCCCTGGCTGCAGTGCAGTGGCGCAATCTCCGCTCACTGCAAGCTCCGCCTCCCGGGTTCACGCCATTCTCCTACCTCAGCCTCCCGGTAAGCTTGGGACTACAGGTGCCCGCCACTACGTCCGGCTCATTTTTTTGTATTTTTTTAGTAGAGAAGGGGTTTCACGGTGTTAGCCAGGATGGTCTCGATCACCTGACCTCGTGATCCGCCCGCCTTGGCCTCCCAAAGTGCTGGGATTACAGGCGTGAGCCACCGCGCCTGGCTCCCACATAGCATTTTAAAATATTTTTGAAGAAGAAAAAGAGGAGTTATTCCGTGATATGATGCACTAAATAATTACCTGGAGTGGTGCCTGCCATATGATGTGATATATTTGTATGTATGGAATGTAGAATTAAATGATTAGAAGAAAGGCCTTAAAACATATTGGTAAGAAGTACATTTGAACGTCATTGTGTCCTGCTCAGGGCGTGATGTATGACACACTGACTGTAAAGTCAGTGTTTAAAGTCTAGTAGAAAAAATTCCTTGTATGCTGTTTCCCTCTCATCCTCGTTGCATTTAATGCCCAGAACAGAATAATGGGATCCTGGCTGTTTGTGGTTTGGCAGGTAGGCATTTTTGGCAGTTGTTCTACAGATTGATTTTATTTGAGGACAAAAAAAAGATTCAGTCCTTTAAAAAAAGAAGTAATTGGCTTAGCTTTTTACAGAACTGTAATTACTTCAACTAGCTTTAGAAGTTAAATCTCACAAAATATCTGTAAGGGAAAATGCAATTCCTTGTTCACTAGGCTTGAATAAGGATATTGAATCAAGCAGAGAGCACAATCATGATTCTGAAATGACCAGATTGGATCATGTTAGGTACATCTAACTATGGGGATGTGGATACAGATAGAAATAAAAGCTTTCCTTAGAAGAAAAACTTGGAAATATTTAGTTAGCCTTAAAATCAAAAGCTAAATCCACAGGGTATTGAGCTTTTATATGCCATATATAGCAATTAAATGGAGAGAACAAGGGGCTATAAATAGATATTTATATCTCACTATGAAAAAAATGGATCATTTGAAATTAATCTGTATTTCAGGGGCAGATGTAAGAAAGACGCTAAATCTATTACTTTGTCCTGAAGCTTTTAGTTCATTGCTGATGATCTGTCTAGCCTAATTCAATTGTTCTGGGACACTTGGTGATTCGGCCCCATCCAATGCTTTGCCTTCCAAAGCCTGTAGTGGTTACTTCAAATAAATAACTTGACCTTGATACGTGTTTGTGGATTCAGCTTAGTATTACAGATCTAAAATTTATGGGCTTAATTTTTAAAAACGATTCTGTCCCTAATTAATGCTTATTTTAAAACAGGTCAAGAGTTGCTCTACACCACATACATCACACCATGGGAATTAGCAAATTTGAACAGGTTTGCATGTACATGTGCTGGCAGGGCTGGCTTCATGGGCCTGTGACCCAAGCAGTTCCACAGGGCCTTACCCTTAAAAGAGACTCTTGCATGTTTTAATGCTCCATCTCACATTTCTTAATTTACTTTTAACAAGCACCTGACATTTTCATTTTACAATAGGCCCCATGAATTGTCCTAGTATGGGCAAGAACTTTCATTACTAGAGACAAATGTGGTTTGAATCCATCAGGTTTTAGTGAATAAAATTTTGTAAATTAGCTATGGAATTAAGTAATGAATCTAGAAATGACATGGTTTCAAATCTCAGTTGTGCTACCTCTGACATGATAACTTTGGACAAGTTACTAAAGTTCCCAGAGCCTTAGTACCTTCTCTGTTAAATGAGGTTAATAAAAATATTAGAAGAAAATAAATTCTTTTTTTTAGAATGACACCTGGCATATATGATTAAATGTGAACTCTGATTAACAATATATTCCTGGGATTCCTCATCTGTAAAAGAGAAGTAGTAATATCTACCTACAGGCTTGTTCATAAGATTAAATGGTATCATATGCAACCAGCATTTAGCATAGATCCTAATTATTAGTGTGCAAGTGACAAATTTAATGTTTTTAATTTTTCCACAAATGATAATATCTTTAGTCTATAATTCAAGCTCATTTTTATTAGTTAATATTAAATATACATTTATATATACGGAAAGGTGGCAAAATATGCCATTTTGGCATAAAGATTATTTTGAGTTAAAGGTACTCAAAAAAATCCCGAAAAACAGCAGATGTAAGAAGGGTGCTCTGCTCCTCCCCTTTTCTTCCTGAAAGCAGGACATAAAACCCCCATATAGAAGATGTCCTCTCTATACCAGAAGAAAAGTAACATTCTTATCATCAAAAATGGGAAGTGAGGCCAAGAAAATTCCATACAAGTGATTCAGATTTTGTTAACAAATTTTTATCTTCATTTATGCTCTCCATATACATTTAATTACTTTTTCACTATTGCCTTTCTTTGTCATCCTAGTATAAAAACATTTCAGTTTTGCCACTTCATTGGGTCTTTCTTTGTGAGAGCTCCTGTGTCATGTAAAATTTATATTAAATGCTTTTCTCCTATTAATCTTTTTTTTTTTTTTTTTTTTTTTTTTTTTTTTTTTTTAAGATGGAATCTCGCTCTGTCGCCCGGGCTGGAGTGCAGTGGCGCGATCTCGGCTCACTGCAACCTCTGCCTCCCAGGTTCACGCCATTCTCCTGCCTCAGCCTCCTGAGTAGCTGGGACTACAGGCGCCCGCCACCATGCCCGGCTAATTTTTTGTATTTTAGTAGAGACGGGGTTTCACTGTGTTAGCCAGGATGGTCTGGATCTCCTGACCTCGTGATCCGCCCACCTCGGCCTCCCAAAGTGCTGGGATTACAGGCGTGAGCCACCGTGCCCGGCCTGTTAATCTGTTTCATGTCAATGTTATTTTGAGGCTCAGCCAAAAACTCCCAAGAAGGCAGAAATAAAATTTTTGCATCTTCTACCAATATGTATAGGTATCCCTCTATGCACTGATGTAAGAAATATTGAAAAAAAGTGTAAGTGCTGAGAAAATTAAAATTCATCTGTCCAATGAGAATGAATTATTTTTAATGTAAAATAAAACCTATAAAATATGTTAAACTGCATAAAATATATAAACATAAACATATCTAGATATATGTTAGATACATAAAATTCATCTTACTGATTTCAGCAGCAATAACAGTAAGATTATGCCACTGAGATAGTTCACGGTCAAGAGGTTTTGATGTATAAAGAGATCCATTTCCTGAATGAATGTTAAAGATTCTGTCAAGGTCAGTATGGCGATCCAAGGAAAATCTGAACATGGAGGGCAAGAAAAAATACATGGCAGCATTATTAATAGTTTGCAGGAAAAAATAGTGAAATGCAAACCCACACATATCACTGATAATTACAGGAAAGAACACAGTGCTGATCTGGAATGTAGATTGTTTGAATGACTTTTCCTAGTTGCACACACACATTCTCCTCAAGGCATAAATTGGTACTGCTCTGCATTTCAATGCTATTCTTCTGAATCCTTGTGTTATTTAAATTGTTGTCTATTGTCATATTCATTCAACTGACTTTGATATATTTGGTCACAAAACAGTTGGAATTACAGACAGCTATATTGCCAACTGACTTTATTCAGTTATTGGAAGTTCTGCTGAAGAATAATACAAAGATTTATTGCAAAAGATTATTCCCAGAAGCTATGTGTTGTTCTTAGAAAATTGGAGACAATGTTAGTTTCATCAAAGTAATAGACTATCAACTTATTATGGTGTTTAGCAGCTTCATGATATAACACCCACGTAGCTTCAGTTTCCTAGCCATGTGTATCATTATTACACATATTGCTTTTAACTTGAGATATTTTAAAAATAGAAAAGTCTGGATGGCCGGGCACAGGGGCTCACGCCTGTAATCCCAGCACCTTGGGAGGCCCAGGCAGGAGGATCATGAGGTCAGGAGTTCAAAAGCAGCCTGACCAATATGGTGAAATTCCGTCTCTATTAAAAATACAAAAATTAGCTGGGTGTGGTGGCACGTGCCTGTAGTCCCAGCTACTCAGAAGGATGAAGCAGGAGAATTGCTTGAACCCAGAGGCGGAGGTTGCAGTGAGCCAAGATTGCGTGCCACTGCACTCCAGCCTGGGCAACACAGCAAGACTCCGTCAAAAAAAAAAAAAAAAAGGAAAAGAAAAGAAAAGTAGTTTGGGATAAGAGTTTTTAATATATCTGTGTTTTTAATATATCTGTATCAAATAAAGTCTATATGCATTTGAAAAACAACAGCAAACTATCCTGCAACTTGATTGCCAGCATGGTACGCTGGGCATGATTTTAAAGCCTAAAACTAGATTAACATTCTGGTTGATGTAGTTTAAATAGATCCCATTATCTTTATCCAACTACATATCTAACATTCATGTATTAAGAAAATCATTGTGTCTCTCCACTTGGAATAATTATTTTATTACCGAAAGATCTAACATAAATTTCACCTCTTCCCTGTAGCCTCTCATGATGATGTAAAGTGGAAGCATTTGTCTCCTTCACTCATAAAGCAGATTTTACCACCATCTTTCCATTTACCACATTGTGTTAGGAATGAATTTCATCTCACATCTCAAACAGACAATAAAACATGAAAACACCAAGCCTCAAAGTCTACTAGTCACTCAATGAGTATTATTTGATTATCATCCTGAGTCTTCTTTTCTAACAGACTAAGAACTCCTTGAGAAACATGTTAATATCTGATATGGTGATCCACAAATATTTGTTAAATGAAAGAAAGAATGACCTAATTAATTGGCATTTTGGCAAATAATAAGGTTCCTTACTTCTGTAGAAATATGACATAAAGTTGAAAAATATAAATCAATAAAAGCGTCTGCTGTCATGCATCACTGATTTTGCTAAATCCATTTCATGTGTGTTCTTTCTGAATTAATTCTTGTAGTTCAGAATGAAGAAGTAATGACAAAATTTTGAACATTATGTGGCATTATCTTGCAGATACACAGAGATCACAGCTCTTTTTCAAATATGATTCAAAGTATATAGTTTGCAATTCTGTATTGGAAAGTTATGTGTGTTAACTTCCATTTTCCTTTCTAAAATAATTTCCAGAACACACATTTTAAGAAAATCCCTTTGATTACTGTATTAACATTCACAAGATATGACACAATTTATAGCATGTCAAGTATGATCCTTCCCATAACAACATATTGCATTAGTAAGGCTATTATATTTTTTAAATATATATATTCTATCCAAAGAATGACATCCAAGAATGTTCATTAAATTTCCTACATCAAATTAGTATAAAGTCAAAGTATACAGCAACTTAATGGCATACCCTCAGTCATTGATAAGCAAGGGAGCTATTATTTTTGCTATAATATGTATAATATTATACCTAAGAGTATTATAATATACATATACATAATAGGAATATAATATGTATAATAATATACACAAGATGATTCTTTCCTCCTAGTCTTTAGACTTGCATCCTCATTAACTATTTTATTTTAAATATCCACAGATATATTTTGACATATAATAATTATATGTCCATAGGAGGATTTAAATTCTATTTCATTGTGTGGAGAAATATCTTGGTATTACACTTTAAGTATGCCACTTGATATACATTTAGATAACAATATTATATTTTATTTTGTAAAGTCTATTTTAAAATCTGAAACACAGAAGACAGCCTGCTAAACCTTAGAATCTCTACCAAGAAAATGCTTGGTAAATATTTAATGAAGAAAATTAGGCCTGTGTATTGGTTATATAAAACTTTCAAAGGAAAAAGAAAAAAAAACACAAGGAATGCAGCAATACAGTTGTTGGTAAATGAATTGGGGAAGAGGCATTTATGGGAAAATCATGCTGGCATGTACAGGTTTCTTCTGCCAATATGTAACCTGTGATGCTGTGTGTGAATATAAGAAAACATATTTATGTGAAATTATAGAAATAAAAAGTAACATAGGTATTCATAAAATACATGATTTCACTTGAAGATATCGCAGACCCTATAGAATTTTTAACTGGTTGAAGTCATATGGCATATAAAATTAGAAGTTTCCTGCATGCGCTGTGGCATATGTAGGAGAAAGGTAAGAGTGCGCTCAGAAAGTGAACAATAACCATCTGAACTCATACTTGACTGGTTCACATAGAAAATGAGCAAGGAAAATTAGCCTGCAGAGATTTAGAAAACAAATGAAATCCAAAATACAAAATGGACTAATGGATTATAGTAAGTGTTCATTTTCATGCTGAATAGTGTATGTCAATATATGTATTTCTTTAAAGTAATAGAACAAGTGTCATTGAAACATTGATTCTTTTTCATTTTCAGTTTATCACATCTCATCTGTTTTTAAGCTGTCATAAGAAGGAAAACAAGAATTGAAAAGACTCATCTTTCTAGAATGTTCTCATATTTTTTGAAAAAGGCAGAATAAATAAATAAACATAAAACAGAAACCTCTCAACTTTGATGGCTGTGCATTAGGGGAGTTTCTAAAATCATAATATAACCCACATTGCAGCATTGCAATTACTTTTTTCTTTTTTTACAAAGACAGGGTGTTGCTTTGTCACTGGAGAGCAGTGGTGTGAATGAAGGTCATGGCAACCTTGACCTCCTGGGCTCAAGTGATCCTCCTGTCTTAACCTCCTGAGTAGATGGGACTATAAGTGTGCACCACCATGCCTGGCTAATTTTTTAATTTTTTATAGAGACAGGGTCTCAGTATGTTCCCCAGGCTGGTTTCGAACCCCTGAGCTTAAGCAATATGTCCAACATGGCTTCCCAAAGTGCTGAGATTACAGGTGTGAACCAGCACATCCAGCCTACTTTATAATTTTAAAACTTCTCTCATTCAACCTTACATTTTATTTAATAACTTGAAAGCACAAATAAAGTAGTTTGGTTGCATGTAAACGCAGAGTTGACATAGCACCCTGGATCTGTACTAGGGATCAGAACAATAAACACCGTAAGGAGACAGGCAGGTGTAACAAGCAAGGTTTCAGTCTAAAGGGCATGATGAAAATAAGAAAACCATGAAGCTTGTGCATGCCCTGGCCCAAAAACATTCAGAGGCAATTTACTAGAAATGCCTGTGCTCACCATATTTGTATACAACTTATGGAATGACTCTTGTATCTTCCATCGCATTAAATGTTTTAAATAGAATTTCTTGATCTGTATATGTATTTCAACTGCTTTTTTTTTTTTTTTCATTTTAAACAACATTTTGTTCTCCTTTTTCCTTTTTTTTTTTTTTTTTTGAGACAGATTCATCTCTGTCGCTCAGGCTGGAATGCAATGGCACGATCTTGGCTCACTGCAACCTCTGCCTCCCGGGTTCAAGTGATTCTCCTGCCTCAGCCTCCTGAGTAGCTGGGATTACAGGCACGTGCCACCAAGACCGGCTAATTTTTTGTATCTTTAGTAGAGACAGGGTTTCACCATGTTGGCCAGGCTGGTCTCGAACTCCTGACCTCGTGATCCACCCGCCTCGGCCTCCCAAAGTGCTGGGATTACAGGCGTGAGCCACCGAGCCCGGCTGTTTTCATTTTTAAAAGGCACACTTACCTAATGGGGCTGGAAATAGAATCTGGGTCCCTTGCCATTACAGTACCAATGATTGTGCCCACTTCAATATCTTCATGAACTTCAAACAGATAGGAGGACCTACTAAAAACAGGAGGTTCATCCACATCTTCTATAGAGATTTTCACTATGGTAGTATCTTTAAATGGTCCTAGGTAATAAAAACGGGGATCTACATGGGTGTTTTCTGCTTCGACTTTCAGAGTATAAAGTCTTCGGCTCTCATAGTCGAGTGGCTGTATAAAAAAATAAATCATCAAATTAGAGTGAGGGAAATTGGATGATATGCTCCCACCCAGTTACAGTATGATTTTTAAGTTGTGGTTGAGTTCTCTTACATAGTTCATTAATTATAAATAAAAAAGACTAACACAAATAATATAATCTTCATGTTTCATTTAGGATTCAACTTCTACTCTTTATGCATTCAATTAGTAAAACTTCGGAACATAGGAAATTGAGACTTTAAACCTTGGAAAAATTGGGATGGAAGCTGAAACCTATTTTAAAGGTGGTACCATTACAAAAAATGGGCTAATGGATGTTGCATGTGTTTGCGTGTGAATGTGCACGTGCAAAGGTGTTAGCTACTGCTAAATTTTTCTAAGTAAATACATGCAGTTATCTTTTTACATCTATGCTGTGATGTTTCCATTCAATGTAATGGGCTTATGATATTATAAAAACATTATGAAATCTTGGAGACTAATATACAACTTTCAAGTTATGTCCAATATTCAAGATAAGAAAAACCCTCTGTAATAAGAAAAAATTTTGATAGTAATTTGGTAAATAGGTTACATGTTGAAACAAAATACCTTAAATATTCATATAGTTTAACTGTCAGAAGTATAAAATCAACTATTTTCTATCTCACCTATTCTGAAATGTATGTTTTGTTAACAGATAAATGATATTATTAGTTCAGATTCCCTCGACCTTTTATTTTTGTTTCAAAAAGAACAAGATTCTATTTGTATTACTGCTGCTGTCTGGTCTGAAAAATGACAAGACAGCTGCTTTCCCATTTGCTAGTCACTGTCCATTTAATAACAGTTGGTTTTGTACTTTGTACCTTGCAAAAGTATCTCAGAATAGTTTAATTATTAACTAATGCTTGTGTAGTTACTCTATGTATGGCATTTCATTAGGACCTAAAGTTTAATGTGCCTTATTTTTTTCTCATAATGATGGCACTTATGCTACAATAACAAACAGGTTACCTTTAGATTGTATCACTGAGCATATGTTAGCAGAAGAGTTTAATTTATACAGCAGAAGGGAAAATGTGAACAATTAAATTATGTTCCAATCCATGCTGTCTCTTTTATTAGTAACTCTAATTATTGCTTCATCATCTGGATAGATGGCATTGGACTTTTTATACCCCCAACTGGGATGATATATTGCCATTATTAGGTATTAACTACACAATTTAAAATAAAACAATGTGATTATGATGGGCTTTTATTAATGTGGCTTAGAAATATGATCACACATATATTAACTTGCCTTTTATATTTTCTAAAGTTTCAGGTTTCCTGTCTCAATCAACCAAAACATGTGGTCAAAATTTTCAAGGAGCTCTTTGGCTTTATGTCTTTCTTATGTATGCACAGTATAAATTACATTGCTGGAAAATTAGAGTAGTATTTCCCAATGGATCATTCATGAGCGAAGAGTATATAATGCAATCCCTACTCCTGAAACACACAGATGCTTATTTATATGGATGCTGTGCACCTTTTTCACAGTGATGATGCCTTCCTGTGTGTCCTTCTCAGTCACGATGTCAAACATATCAGTACCGTCACCATCAATAATTCGGTATTCTACTTCAGCATTTTTCCCAGTGTCAGCATCAGTTGCTTTGACACTTCCAATGGCTGTGCCAACTGGGGAGGATTCAAGAACTCGAAGATGAATAGTGTCTGTAAAGTATAAAGAAAAGAAGAGAGAGACAGAGAGAGAGAGAGAGAGAGAGAGAGAGAGAGAGAGAGAGAGAGAGATTTCTCAATAGAATAGCCAAAAGCAAAACATGTAAGACGCAATATAATAGATCTTAAACTCTAAATCAGATGTTGACAAATGATGAATACACATAACATGGATAACATTAAGGTCTAGGAACTTCCGGGGCTTTTGTCTGCACATATTATGAATAGTAAGAAACAAATCCTAACAGTAGGACAAATTCTGGTTTAAAAATGAGTATGTTCATAAAAAGAAACGAGTTCATATCTCTCGCAGGAACATGGATAGAGGTGGAGGCCATTATCCTTAACACACTAATGCAGGAACAGAAAATCAAATGTCACACGTTATCACTCATAAGTGGGAGCTAAATGATGAGAACTCATGGACACAAAGAGAGGAACAACAGACACTGGGGCCTACTTGAGGCTGGAGGGTGGGAGGAGGGAGAGGATCAGAAAAACAATAATTACTGGGTACCAGGCCTATTACCTGGTCTATGAAATATATATCTGTACAACAAACCCCCGTGACACAAGTTTACCTAAGTAACAAACCTGCACATGTACCCCTGAACCTAAAATAAAAGTTAAAAAATATTAGCATGTTGTCTCTTTATTTTATTTTATTTTATCTTTTGAGATGGGTGTCTTGCTATGTTGCCCAGGCTGGTCTGAGCTCAAGCTATCTTCCCATCTTAATCTCTGGGATAGTTGGGATTAGAGACGCAAGCCACGCACCAACCAAGCGTGTATTTTTTCATTGCGTAGATCTGCTTTGAGGGCAGATATGTATTTATGTGTGTTTACACAATCACAACAAACCACAGGATATACACTGAATGTTTCTATGTAGTTGTTTTTACTATGCTATATTTAGTTATTTACTACTCATACTTATTTCAACTGCATGGCAGAACATTACAAAATCCAATGAAATCAGCCATAATGGGTAGGAATCCTATTTCTTACTTGTGACAGCAGGAACAAAGGACAGTCTGTGGAAAAAATATATAGATGCCCTTTGCAGTGTCAGAGTGAAAACACTCAATACTGACAAACTCCCCTTCATTCCAGAGAAACACAAAAATTTATGTTTTTGGTGTACCTAGATGTGCTTCCAGCATGAACAACCTCTACTGCTAATGAGATTTATGTTTCAGCACCTGATCATAAACTACATATTTCTGATGGATTAATCAACCTCAAGTACACTCTGATTATAGCACCTTCTTGCTCATAAACCTTAAGTAATTCTCCTTAATATACATAATAAAGTCCAGACCTCTTAGCTTGTCACAGTCTTGCCTGAATATGTCTCTCCTATATCATTTTGCATTTAGTCACTTCCATGAAAGATATGGACCAAACTGGGCTTTTCAAAGTTTTCTAGGCAAAACTTAATTTCCTATATTACTATTTCTTCTTGCTTTCTCTCTTTCTTTTCTTTTCTTTTCTTTCTTTGTTTCTTTTCTTTTTTTTTCTTGATGGAGTCTCAGTCACTCAGTGCTGGAGTGCAGTGACATGATCTTGGCTCACTGCACCCTTACCTCCCGGGTTCAAGTGATTCTCGTGCCTCAGCCTCCTGAGTAGATGGGACTATAGGCACCTGCCACCACACCAGGCTAATTTTTATATTTTTAGTAGAGACCGGATTTTACCATATTGGTCAGGCTGGTCTCGAACTCCTGACCTCCGGCGATCCTCTCACCTCAACCTCCCAAAGTGCTGGGATTACAGGCATGAGCCACTGTGCCCGGCCCCTATATCACTATTTCTATATTTCTCTCACATAAAATTCCTTCCCCTTATCCTCATGTTATCATAATGCAGTTTACCAAATCTGAGAAAATGACACTGTTCAAAGCTGACTGTTTGTTGGGCTATGCCAAGCCAAGGAGAGAGGCTTCAGAAAAAATGAGCCAGCAGACACCTTGTTCTCAGGATTCTAGTCCCTAGAATTGGGAGAAAATACATTTGTGTGGTTTAAGCCACCCATTCTGTAAGACTTTGTTGTGGCAGCCCTAACAAATGACTACAGGCATATACATACGCTACATGTTGGAAGTCATTTCCTAAGAGGCATCATTAAAACTCAGTTTCCATCACACTGCAGTTGGTCCCTTAGCCTGTATCCTTCATTTTTTCTATCTCCGGTAACACACCACTGAAAGCAACTCTCAATTCATTACTTTGCTACCATCTTATTGGTTCTCTTTGCCTTTGCTGATTCTTCTTGGAACACCTGTCCCCTGGATATTCTAATGGCTCCCCTGTTCTCTTCCTTCAGTTGTCTGCTCTATGGGGACCTCCTCAAGAGCTTTCATTAATAGCTTAACTGAAAATAGCCTTATCAAAAGTAGTGCTCACAATCACTTCTCCTATCATCCGTCATCACCAGGCATTCTATTATCTACTTACTTATTTGTATGGAACATAAGAATGTAACAGAAAACAGGCACTTAGCATTTTTATCTAAGAGTTCATCTGAGTGTAGTAGCCACCATATCATTATTTGTATATTATTTTATACAATAAAATAAATTATTTGTGTATTGTACATTGTATAGAAGCTTCCTACCTAGTCTACTAGCTCCTATGCTTGGCCAAATCAAATCAATTCACACACACTCTTAGTCCACATTGTAGCCGCATTGCCCCTTAAAAACATTCATATTATCAAGCTTTACTCAGAGTTTCAAAACTCTTTGATTGTTCCCATTATACTTAAAAGAAAATATCCACTGACTGACCCGTCATAATTTAGATCCTCTGTCCTGTCAGTTTCTCTCAAATTAATACTATCCAATTATCTTGGTCTCTTTTAGCTTTGTCACACAAACTTTTCCTACCTCAACACTTTTTCCTTCCTTATGAAAGATTTTCGACACAACTCTGCCTGATAACCACATCCTCTTTTAATATAGTTCACTATGATTCTACCACAGCACATCATAAATTCTAACCTGTTGATTGCAAGAACTCTCTTTAAAAAATTAAATTTTACACAAGTGGCACTTCAATAAATGAATTTATTACTCCTTAGCAAAGGTGACCTTTCTAAAATACAAAAATGATATCACTGCCCCAATGAAAGCACTTATTGTTGATGTTAAGTGTTTAATTTCATTTGGTGTATAAAGTCTTATAAAATTTGATTTCTGCTAAAATCTTCATTATTACTAGTATCTATTCTCAAAGCTAGAGCAAATAGGAAATGCAGCCACAATATTTTTTTCAATTAATGAGTTTTCAATTAAAAATTTTAAATATAAGGAATATTTAACAAAACAAATACAAATATATGGATGGTTAGATTGAGATATATATATACAACTTGAATAAATCATTTAGAGAGTACAGATTCTTTCAGAGCTGGCATGAAACATTTAATCCAATCTAACCAAATACTAAGTTATTACACAAGTTTAAATACATTTTAATAAACCACATTCAACTAAATATTCTGACCATGCCACAATTAAGTTAAAGGTTAACACAGAAAAGATAAACTCAAATCCTTGTATTCCTGAATATTTTAAAAGAATAAAATTAAAAATAACAGATAGTATCAAGATTGTGACAGTTAGAAAATATTACCAACACTTATGTGCTAATAAAATTGAGTACTTAGCCTTAGTGGAAAATTCCTAAAAATAATTAAAAATATACCAAAATCTACAAAAGAGAAAATCAAGTATGTTTTAAAATATTCTACCCTTCCAAATCCAAAGAGTTCAAACAGTTTTCAAGGAATATTTATGGAAAAGAAAATTCCAGTCTTATGCAAAGTGTTCTTGAAGAAAGAAAAGTGGGGCTCCTATCATAACTCATGAGAATGGTATTACCCTGATATAAAACCAGACAGGAGAAGAAGAGTCCAGTGGACGTATAGTGTGGTCAAAATTCAGGCTGTACCACATGGAAATGTATAATATTTAGTAAGTTCATTTAAAAATGTTTCCGTTTACAATCACTTATGTAAAGTTTAGTTTATTACAAACACTATTCTAATCATTTTACTACTAACTAAATTCCTGACTTTGTTCAAATTTCATCTTGCCATTAAAGTCATTCTTTTCTGGAGATCTCACTTTGCATTTGACTGTCATGTCTCCTCACTCTCCTGCAATCTGTGGGAATTCTTTAATCTCTGTCTTTCATGGCTGATATGGTTTGGCTGTGTCCCTGCCCAAATCTCATCTTGAATTGTAGCTCCCGCAATTCCCACGTGTCATGGGAGGGACCTGGTGGGAGGTAATTGGATCATGGGAGCGGGTCTTTCCAATCCTGTTCTGGTGAGAGTGAGTAAGTCTCATGAGATCTGATGGTTTTATACAGGGGAGTTTTCCCCTGAGCAATCTCTTTCGCCTGCAGCCATGTAAGATGTCCCTTGCTCTTCCACCATGACTATGAGGCCTTCCCAGCCATGCGTAACTGTGAGTCAATTAAACCTCTTTCCTTTATAAATTACCCAGTCTTGGGTATGTCTTTATTAGCAGCATGAAAACAGACTAATACAATGACCCTGACACTTTTAAAGAATACTTGTCAAGTTACTGTGCAGAATCTCTTTCAAGGAGGGCCTGTCTGGTATGTTCTTGTCATTAGATTAAAGTTATGCATTTTTGTCAAGACTATCACTGAATCAGTCTGTTCGTAGTGTATTATATCATAGCAGGGAGTATCCGATGTCAATATGTCTTAGGACTGATGATTTTAAGTCAATTAGGTGTTTCTGCCAGTTTTCTCGTTTGTTAAGTTACCATTTTTTTCATAATTAATACATATCTTGGTGAAGATATTTTGAGTGTATGCAAATATCCCATTTCTCCTAAAAAAATGCCCACTAATTTTAGCATCAATCAGTGATCTTACTGGCAACAATTAATACCACCATTTACTAATAGTGATTTTCAATTTTTTTTCATTCAGTTCCACATTTATTATTTGAAATTCTTCTACGAGGAAAAGCTGCCCCTTCTCTCTCATTTATTTTTACTTATGCTTTTATTTATTTAGATCAGTATAGATTCAAAAACATTTATTTTATTTTATATTATTTATTAGAATCTAATAATATGGTTATTTATTGTTTTCTGCAAATCCTTCTAGATTCAGCCATTGGATGATTTTTTTAGGTTGGCTCTGGTGCCTTTCAACATGTCTTCATCATTCCTTCAGCAAGCTTCCTTAATTTCTGGCATCACAGAATGTTCCAAGTTCATCTTATATTTTTTGCGCCTAAGCCCTCAAATCAAACAAGTTTCCATATATGCCTGGTTGCTTCTGCTTGAGAAAGAACCATAATTGTTTCATATAGTGCAGTATTAAAAATTAAAAAAATACATAACTCTTGCTTCATAATGTCTAAATATGTCAAAATATGTACATGAAAGTATTTGTATTTGAAATAAATCTAATTATGTATTGAATATAAAAATCTAAATAACAGCAAGTTATTGTTAACATGTTAATTGACTTTCATTTTAGAAATCAACATATCTGCATCCTTGAAAAGGAATTTTGAAATCTATGATTTTTAATATTAGTATTTAAGACTTTTCAGCAAAAGAAAAAATTCTCTACAAGAATAAAATGAAAGTATTTACATAGCAACACTATAACATTTGAACTGATTATGCATGCTTTTTGTAAATTTATATTTGTGAAGTAGTCGCACATTTTTGTTTAATCATTATTGCTCAAAAAGGTCTACAATTTCATTTCTTGGCGTGAAACACAATTCTAACGCCCAAACACTGGTCAGTAATACCACTGTTTTCACATTGATATAAACTAAATTTTCTTAGAGATTTGCTGTTTCTAAGTCTGAAGAATTGAAGGGAAAGTGGGAATAGGATTTCTTCTTGAGAACAAAATTAAGTGAGATATCAAAGATTAATGGGATCACAGAAACATACAAAGAAACCAATTGTTGCCTCCACTGGCCAACATTTAGAAAATTTGATAATCAATAGGAGAATAATAATTCAGGTGATTAAAATACATTGAATCATATTTGTTTTTGACAATGCAAGCTAAATAATTCAGTTCAATATCTTAGTGACAAACAATTAATATTTGTGGATTATATGTAAAGATAAAGATAGTTGAATGAAGGTAGTAAAAAAAACTCAAGTCCAAATTGAAGGGAAATGAGAGCCTAGAGAAGTAAGTGAAAAGCTAAAAGTTTTTTTGGCCTGGGGATATTTTCCATTTTCACAACATTTATCTTTATTTTTATGGCCTCTTGAAGCAAGGAGGGGATAGACCAAAATCTAGGTTATCTACAAGGTTATTTACTGAAGCCGCAGATAGACTCCACAACAAACTAAACCTAACGAGTTTTCACTAGGTTTAAGGGTGATCCAGATGTAAACCACCCTTGACAACATTTTAGATTTCGTAGTGTAGGCTCAGATAACCCTGGTAATATCTATTTTTACAGACACAGACAGCTTTAACTGCTAGGGGAGAGGGTGACACTGTGGTATCCACAATGGATTGGGATGAAGGATCACAAAACAGTCTAAAATTACTTGAGGGAGATTCTGTGTACAGACAAGAAAACCTCTAAGCTTGTCCTAACTAAGAGGACGTTTCCTGGCTGCTTTTCCACATACCTTTTTCTCTCAAGTGTCTTTTGCAAAAGTGAGGCACGTTAATATCTCTGAAACGTTTATTATATAGCTCAGTGAGAGTATAGTTGTAAACATTTAGCTCATAAAGCCAAAAAGGAATGAAAAATGATGGCATTAGTTACCCTAAAATATAGAACAACACATCAAACGCATGTTGGAGACAGAGACAGATATATATACACACACACATATATATGCACGTATACACATATTCACATATGTATATATGCACACAGATAAATATATTTATATATACATGCATATACATAAATACACGTAAATATATGAGTGTATATATACATATGTGGATATATAATGGACAGTTTTACCAAGCTAATAAATCTTTAATATTTTAATGGAATACCTTATTCACAGTCTTTAGTAAAAATAAACTTTTGAAATTTTCCACTGAGGGCAAATTCAGCCCTGCCACAATGTTGCAGGTTTCCCTGCCTCCAAGATCACAAGATCTCCCCTTTCAATGAATATCATGTTTTTTTCCCTGTTCTCTGCATGTCTCAACATAATGCTTGCACTCAAAAATATTAAGTCATATCTGTATATTAATAAAGTTATTTTATTGCAAAAGGCAGCTTTGACCTACATCGGAGAAGGATTACAGTGAGATGGTAATTTCTAAGTTTATCTTGCAAGGGACTAATTTTGATTTTTTGACATGTGCACTTTTTTTTTTTTTTTTTTTTTTTTGAGACAGAGTCTTGCTCGGTCACCCAGGCTGGACTGCAGTGGTGCGATCTTGGCTCACTGCAACCTCCACCTCCTGGGTTCAAGTGATTCTCATGTGTCAGCCTCCTGAGTAGCTGGGATTACAGTTGTGCACCACCATGCCTGGCTAATTTTTGTATTTTTAGTATAGATAGGTTTTTGCCATGTTACCCAGGCTGGTCTCAAATTCCTGGCCTCAAGAGATCCACCTGCCTCAGCCTCCCAAAATGCCGGTATTACAGGCATGAGCTACTGTGCCCAGCCCACATGCAAAATTTGAGTTAAAAATTCTCAGTCTGCATCTTTTTTGGTTTTCACCAGCAATCCTAAATTTATAAAATAATTTTAGCAAAAGTTTAGTTTATAAAACAATATAGATCAATATTTTAATGATCTTCAGTTTGAAAGGGATTTCTAAAACAACAAAATTTAAAAAGGTTGATAAATCAGTCTATACTCAAACTAAAACCTTCTATAAAATAAAGACAATGTGCAGAAAGTTAATCATTTTACAAATAAAGAGAAGAAGATAGTTTCAGCACACATACTTACAAATACAGTATGTTTAAAGATCCCTAAGAAAAGGCAGAATAACCTAGTAGAGAAATTAGTCAAGGATGTTGATAGAAAACAACTTACAGTGGAGGAAACATGAAAGATCAATAAACAGAGACAACTACCCTAAAATTAAACCAGGCAAATGCAAATTAAAGCCAAGACGTGATACCATTTTATACTTATGAAATTAATAAAAGTTAAGTCTGACAATCCCAAGTGTTAAAAGTATGTGGTAGAATAAAAACTATTATGTAGAATTGATGGATGTTATATTTGACACAATGACTTTGGGAAATGTAATTTCCTAGAGCTGCTGTAACAAAGTAACAAAAACTAGGTGGCCAATAACTATAGAAACATACTGTCTGAAAGTTCTGGAGGATACAAGTCTGATGAGGACATACTCAGAGAATCTTCCCTTGCTGCTTCTGCTACTGGAATTTGCTAGAAAGTCTTGGTGCCCCCCAGCTTGTAGCTGTATCACTACCATTGCACCCCATCTCCTCCCTGTGTGTTCACTTGGCCTCCCCTATTTCTGTGTCTTAATTGCTCCTTTTCATAAATATACCATTCATACTGGATTACAGCTTTAACTCTAATAACCTCATTTTAAACTATTTTCTCTATTTCCAAATAAGCTCAAATTCTGCGGTACTGGAGGTCAGTAATTTGACATATATGTAGACATAGGTCATATAGAATTATTGTTTGTAAAATGAAAAAAAGGAAGTAAACCAAAGTGTCAAACAGCATGAGAACAGATGAATAAATCATTGTATAATCACACATCTCAATGTAATATAAAAGCAAAAAATGTGAGCTATACTTATATGGAAAAATATGGGTAAATCTTGGGAACATATCATTGAGTGAAAAAAAGCAAGTTTCAGAAAATGATGTACAGTGTGATACTATCTTTATAAACCTCAAACAAGAAGAGCTCAATATATTTTTTAAGAATACATACATTCTACTATGAATATATATACACATAGTTACATACACATACACCTCCCCAACTCCGTCCCTTTCTATATTTATCAGTCTCAATGATCAGATACTATCACACGGTAATTAACTCTGGACTATCTAAAAGGAGAGGATGATATATGCACATGTAAAGTATTCTTAAAATCTTTGTAATGTAATTTTTCAGGTGGCGCTACTTATAGTCTTTTGTATTTATTAAACACGACTAGAAAATTTAAAACAAACAAACACATATACAACACAAATCACTTTTTTTTTGTTGTTTTTTTTGAGATGGCATCTCAGTCTGTCATCCAGGCTGGAGTGCAGTGGAGCCATCTCAGCTTGCTGCAGCCACCACCTCCCAGGTTCAAGCAATTCTCCCATCTCAGTCTCCCAAATAGCTGGGATTACAGGCATGTGCCACTGCACCCGGCAAATTTTTTTTTTGTATTTTTAGTAGAAATGGGGTTTCATCATATTGGCTAGGCTCCTGACCTCAGGTGATCCACTGGATTCGGCCTCCCAAAGCATGAGCCACCGTGCCCGGCCACAAATAATTTTCAAGTTGAGAATTTAAAGTATGGGTAGCATTCCTGGCACTCAACAGAAGCAAACACAGTTCTGCTATATAAGATTTAACAGGAAAACAAAAAACAGAAAAGCAACAAAAACTCAAACTCAAACACCCCCAAAACAAAACAACCTCTAGCTGAATCCGATCAACAAAACGGCTAATGTTGGAGTCATCAGATGCAGAACAATCCACATACAAGCTCACGCTAAATATGTTTAAAGAAGTAAAAGTGGGCCGGGTGTGGTGGCTCATGCCTATAATCCCAGCACTCTGAGAGGCCGAGGTGGGCGGATCACCTGAGGTCAGGAGTTCAAGACCAGCCTGACCAACATGGAGAAACTCTGTCTTTACTAAAAATGCAAAATTAGCCGGGCATGGTGGTGCATGCTTGCATGCCTGACTAACATGGAGAAACCTCCTTACAAAATTAGGTGGGCATGGTAGCGCATGCCTGTAATCCCAGCTACTCGGAAGGCTGAGGGAGGAGAAGAGAATCGCTTGAACCTGGGAGGCGGAGGTTGCGGTGAGCTGAGATAGTGCCATTGCACTCGAGCCTGGGCAACAAGAGTGAAACTCTGTCTCAAAAAAAAGAAAAAAAAATTAAAAGCATAAAAACATGACTAGACTATAACTCTAAAAAATAACTCAGCATATTTGATATTAAACCAAACTATTAAACTAAACATAACTGAATATTAAAAACATAATCATTGAAGTTAAGAAAATAATGGATGGGTTAAAAAGATTAACATCATCCAACAAGAAAATAAGTGAGCTGGAGGAAAAAAGGAAGGATGTAAATGTATTTAAAAACTGCTAAGTAGGCCGTGCCAGGTGGCTCACACCTATAATCCCAGCACTTTGGGAGGCTGAGGTGGGCGGATCACAAGGTCAGGAGTTTGAGACCAGCCTGGCCAATATGGTGAAACCCTGTCTCTACTAAAAATACAAAAATTAGCCTGGTATGGTGGCAGGCGCCTGTAGTCCCAGCTACTCAGGAAGCTGAGACAGGAGAATCACTTGAACCCAGGAGGCAGGAGTTTCAGTGAGCCGCAATTGTGCCACTGCACTCCAGTGGGCTACAGAGCGAGACTCTGTCTCAAAAACAAACCAAAAAACAAACAAAACAAACAAACAAACAAAAAAAACTAATATGTAATTGTGAGTGTTAAAAAAAAAGATTAAAATGTCACTGACATTTCAACAGCAACTCCTGATCCCACAAATTATTGAACAATATTATCAAAATTTTATGGTAACACTATTTTGAACCTTGAATGCTCACTTTAACCACCACATTAAGTGTGATAACTCAATGAAGATGGTTTTAGATTCAGCATAGTCCCTTTGGATCTTTTTAAGAAACCTAGTAAAGAATGCATTCTAGGAACATAAGGGACTAAATCAAGTTTTAGGAATGCATGAGATCCAGAAAGTTCAAATCCAAAGCAAGAAAGTAAATAAAATAAAATAAAATAAAATAAAATAAAAAAGTCTGGGATGACAGGCGTCCCTGACTATGAAGATTAGCCAGCCTGTGCTGGAACCAGAATACTGAGGGCTCTAAGATTGCATCTTCAGGTCTGCCAAATTGAAGCAAATGCTATAGGGCTGCTCACTAACAAATTTTCAGCAGCTGCCCACACAACACATCAAAAACACAAGCCTGTAATATCTTGGAAAACATAACCCTGCTAAAAAAGATCTAAAAGATTCATCAGTTGAAAATAATTACTTAGGAAATAAAATGTCTGCCTTTTTTCTCTTTGACCTTTGGGAGCAATGGTATGCTCTGCTATAAATTTTAGCACATGAGACCTAAATTTTACAGTTAACAGTATAGCATTTTTGAAAATTACACTAAAAAATCAGTTTGTGTCTTAAACAATAAAAAAAATTTCATACATTTAGTGCTGTAGTGAGAGTGCTCGTAGGACAGAAAGCCAAAGAAGGAGGTTGACAATGGTGAATATTAAAACAAAATAAAGGCACACGCAAAGGAAACCTTTCATAGCATGGCATTTAAATATGCAAAGATAACTAATACAGAAAACGGGGATGGGGGCAGGAAGGGAGGGTGGGGAGTGAAATTATATTTGGGGAGAACAGAATGATGGGTAACTGATGTCCATTTTCATCAATCATAAAAGCAAGTCAATGAGTAATGTATAAACATATCTCAACAAATAACAAGAAGATACTAGTTAGAAAATTGTAGCTTAATCCTAGATGAACTAAAAAGAGTAATAAAGTTGTTATCTGTGAGAATTAGAGCTATAGATGAGAATGGAATGGATGGCTTATTTTATATATGTATATATACACACACATAGGCATACATACATGCATTTAATACTCTAGTAAAAATTGTTTTTAAAAATTAAAAAATTTCCTAATGATAGAAGAAATAATCAGTTTATGATAAAAAAATTACCATATCAATGTTCTCTCCCGAAAGAGACAAAACAAAAGAAAAAAACATTCCTTTGTTCCATTAATTTTACTTTCATATGGAATTCATTGTGAATATTAACTCTGGAAATTTGTTCTCAAACATTTTATTTTTAGTTTGACTTCTTTGTGATTGTTTGATTTGTATTCTTAGGCACATGCTTAGAATCTGAAAATATGTCTGCTTTAAACTTGCCATTATAATTCTGGTCAAATATCCAAAAATTATTTATTACTGTTTTTTATTTTTCGATTGGTGCAGAGACAATATTTGTTACAAGGTGTATTTCATGTTTATGAGAGTTAGTGTTTTTCATGTTAATTTTTACTACTTTCAAGACTTAAACGGGAAAGTGATCATGCTCCACTGTTTCACATTAAAATGAATCTAAATTTTTTAAAATTTTACTGATGATACAATATAACTATATTGATGATCTATCAGTTCTTTTCCACAGTAATTTGTCTGAAGAAATATAGATGGGTTGTGTGTGTGTGCATGAATGCACATAAGTACATTAATTTTTTTCTAAAGCACACATGCATATAAACACATTTATTTTTCCCTAAAACAAAAATTGATTATATGGCAACATCAGTAATTAATTCATTCAACAAATTTATATTCAGTTCCCTACATACAGAAGTTAATCGTGCTTTCTCTGGAATTATGTTTATGCTCAGAAATCATTTTTAGGACAAGATTTATTGGGTCTATTTCAAAATTGAAAAGTGAATTTCTATATTTTAAATGTATGAAACAGTGATTCATTCACACTTTCTAATTTATTTCTAAGATGAGTCTGTTGAATAGAAGTATCCTACTTTGTCAAGCAAACTGAAATTACTAATTGAGAACCAGCATGCTCTTCCTCCAAGGGTGTTTGACATTTCGGGCAAGCAGTAGGCAGGGAACTAGAAAGCAGGCATAGATTGTTTATGCGTACACTGACAAAGGCAAATGAGTGCTTAAGTTTCATTTCTCCTTAAAGACACCTATTTGCATGCTCCTTATTTTTTTATCTTACAGTGATGAAGCTTTAATTATGTGGTACGCTTTCCTATCAATTCTAATTTATAGTTGTTTTAAATTCATTTCCAGGTGTCAGATTGAATCATCTGCTCCCCTTTTAATGTTTAGGCAGATAAATATTTCTTCCTGGTGGGTACATTCTTAGTATGGTTACCCATTTAAGCACAAAGGCATGAATGTGAGAAGGAGAGAGGTAATTGCCATTTCTATATCACATAAATAAAGTCGTATTGAAAAAGTAAAAATCTAGAAGGTAACATCGCAAAGAAAGCTTCCTAAGGACTGAGCAAAATGTGGGGCTACATAAATAAGTGCACTTTCATCCTGATACTGACAACCTCACACAACATCTGCACTGGCAGTTATTAATGATTTCAAACAATTTTGATGCATTTATGGTTTTTCACTATTTGAGGCTGATATTCCTGTTCACTTCTTCTACCAAAATTTGATCAATAGGACCTTTGCACTTGAATATTTAAAATACTGCCAATTTGTGTACAAGAGTTAAAAATAATTGACAGCTCACGTGAGTAAGCGACTTTGGAGGAAAGATATAATAGGTGATTTAAGAGATGTGACATAGTGACTTCCTTAAGAACAACAAAATGATGCCAGAAATCAACTGGGAGGGCGACAAAGGCAAACTGCTTACCTCTAGGTTTTGAGTTTAGCGACAAACAGCTGCTGTTTCTTTTTGTTGATAAAAACCAATAAAGTTCAAAGAGATATAATGTATCCTAATCCTTTATTCTCTACCCTCATTGCTACTCACATTTACATTAAAATTCTACTTCTCCAGAGTTGAGATGAAAAAGGCATCATATATATGAATCAACAAAATAATTTAACTTTAGCTTAATTTTTTTATTTGCTTTGTGTATAATCATATTGTAACATCGCTATGCTGCACGATAATCTCGAACAATACTTGCTTTAAGAAAAATGTCATAATTATGCACGTTTATAAACCATTCCATTGTATAATGCTTAAAAGATGTTTTTTAATGAGCTTAAGAGGAAGAAATTAAAAACAAGATAAAGCTCCTTGGAGGGAACTGCAGAGTAGTTAAGGAAATTATGCAATGCTAAATGGGCATTTAGGAGAAAGCAGAGGAGAGCTGAAAGTCACACCAGAGACTGAGAAACTACTGAGGCTTTCGAATTGAAGATTCTTACCAGAGGAAAGAGAGAAACCCAAATTTGTGAGCACTGGAGATACGATCATCAACTCAGCTTTGGGCATTTAAGTTAAATTAGAGCAAAACGAGATGCTGTACCATGTCTTAGTTTCCTGTTCAAGCTACTGAAGAAAGTAACTTGACAAAGCTTTCAGCGAAGCTGCCATGGATCCCCAGAGTCCTGGAAATCTGTTTTGCTACATTTCTCAAAAATGGTCTCCAAGTTAATTGGCATCAATAGATAATACACAATGGCAATGTGTAGAAACAATAAAAGCATATAGGATTCAGCGAGGTTAAGACAAACTTTAAATTAGTCACTCATAAATATATTGTCCTAGGTATTCTTTACAATGGATCTCACCTGAAATTGTAAGTGTACTAAAAACTCTGCAACAACAGCTTTAATTGTGTCTAAACAGGTTTGCATAACTGGTTTTACATCTATATTTCTAAATTTATACCTACTGAGGGATACTGTCCAAGTTGTCCTAGAGGACATCATGATACAGAAGGAGTGTGAATCCCATTATGTAAGATGCCAAGTAGTTCCGTCTAAGGCAACTTTCCACTGGACTAACTGGAATGTTCCAAGTAGGTTTTTGTATAATTTCCATATACATGATTTCTCTTAGAGAATTACACAGTTCATCACAGACGGAAAATGTGTATTTCCCCTGGTTCTGTCATGCTAAACATTTAGCCTAGCTGATATTTTACATGTCTATTTTCACTAATATCTCATTTGCACACATCAGATTCACATGCTGTATTTCACTAGCTACTAGATAGCACTATCTTTCTGCAGGGATCTCAATTCAAAATGCTCAAGTCCAGTTGAAATCCCTGTCCCTCTCTTCAACTAAACACTTCCGGTAGAAAGCTTGAAAGTATCTTTTCATTGATATTTTACCTTTTAACCCTCAAACCTTTTATCGACCTAGTTACTAAATTGTCTTAAATGTATCTCAAATTCCTCTTCTCTTCAGCATTAGTTCAGACTGCAGCAACTCTTGCTGTTCCTATCCAGCAATGTGCTTCATTGCTATCAAAATAATTGGTCAAAACAAAGAACTGTGCCTGATGCTGTCCGAAAAAAGATCTCTTAAATAATATATGCAGCATTTTATCTTTTTATTCAACCCTTTCATGATGCTAACAACGTCTTATCTCATAATCTCACCTCTCACAATCCCTGATTTAAACCAAATTACACACATTTCACTGAAGTCTGTTTTTATTCATTTTATCCCCTTTAACAACAATAACCACCAAAAATGTTCCTTCCCTCATTGCCCCTTATTTTTTTGCCTGGAAAATTCTTATTCATTTTAGAAGTAGTTTTAAATAATGTTCTTTTTCATGATTCCCTTATGTCTAAAATATTTAATTATTTAGACAATTATGGCACTAATCTTATTGCATTACTCTCCAGTTATATGTGTGTACACATTTATGTTTTGTGTATATATGTATAAGTATATATAATCATATATATTTTGTGTACATATGGATGAATATAAGTATATATAGTCATATATACTTACATAATTAAATACATATAGTCTTACATATACTTATATAAATATAGTCTTATATATATTTATATAATTAAATATACAGTCTTATATATATTTATATAATCAAATATACTTATATTTATACATATATACACAAAACATAAACATGTACACACATATTATATATATTTATATTTATACATACATACACAAAACAAAATATATAGAGTCATGTTTCACTTAACAGGGATACGTTCTGAGAAATGCATTGTTAGATAATTTTGTTGTACAAACATCACAGAGTGTACTTACACAAACCTAGATGGTATCGCTTTCTACACAACTAGGCTATATGGTACAGCCTACTGCTCCTAGGCTACAAACCTGTACAGCATGTTGCTGTATTGAATACTGCAGGCAATTGTAACACAATGGTATTTGTGTGTCTAAACATAGCTAAACACAGTAAAAAATAAGTATTGGTATTCTAATCTTACGAGACCACCATCACAATAGGTGGTCCGTCATTGACTGAAATGTCACTATGGAGTGCATGACTGTATAGTTACAAAAGCAAGCAAGAAAAAGTGAGAGAGACAATCAGTAAAAGAGAAACTGAAATGAAAAAAGGTAAATGTGTGTGTGTGTACGTGTGTCTGTGTGTATCAGAGACAGAGAGAGAGATTGTGTCTGTTTATCCTACCAAAATGCAAATTAGTTGTGAATGTATCCTGTAGGTAATTTCTTACTTTAAGACAATTACAGTTCATTTTTATTTCTTAGCACAGTTCTTGGCACATAGTAGGGCTTCGGTCAATGTTTAATACATCAATGAATGCTTTAATAACATAATTTCTTTGTAACTCCTTCAAACTATAGGCATTGGGAACATGAGGGAAAATCTGACAGAAGTTGAGGATATTTTGGTGGTCACAGTAAAAAATCACACTGTATCTAATGAACATAAATCGTAGAACAGTGCTTTTGCATGTAAGTAGGTTCATTTTTTTTCTAGATAATAAAACAGGGAAAAAGAGACATTTTTAATTTTATTCCCTTCTTTCTCATGCTGAAGCATCTTCCTTGGGGCATACCTGACAGTTGCTCTAGTTGAAAAGTGCTTGATAATTTTAAAATATGCAAATCAGCCTGGGGCCTACATTACCTTGGGATCCCCAGTAGAGGAGAGGTTGACTCTATTTACAAAGTGAAAATCAGCACTTATTAAATCAAATCTCTCTTGTACCAGGCAGGGATTATGATAGTCTCACAGCTCACTGAACGTACGTGTCTTAAATCCCTATGTATATCATATAGACATTTCCTTGAAAGACCTTGTCTCATGCAAACTTGTTTATCTGCCCAGGCAGTATAAGGATCCCAGAAAAGAGGTCAGTCGTGTTTGGTCCTTGGATATTGCAAAAGCACCAAGCAATAAAAGTATGATTTACCTGTCTCTGTATCAACATGCATACACATTTTAAGAATTCAGTGTGTCCTGCCTGAATTTTGCCCTATAATCTATGTAAAAGTAGTGAACTACAGAATTAACTAAAGTGGGATGCATCAAGGAAGATTAAATTTTTGATGTGCCAATATCTTTCTAGGTGTAGTGCTTTGAAGCACAGGCTTAAAAGCCGAATAACCTGGATCCGCAACCTGCTTCTTATTTATTTCATGAACAAGTGACTTTACATTTACATGATTCTGTTTTTTTAACTAATGAAAAGGGGTAGATTTATGTTGGTGCAAAAGTAATCGCAGTTTTTGCTATTAATGGAAAAATTACTTTTGCACCAACCTAATACATTGTCTATCTCATACGGATGATGTAAAGATTGAGTTTATATTTGCACAATATTTTACAGTAGTATTTAGTGCATGCTATATCAATGCCTAATACTATTATTTTTACACTGTTGCTGTTTTATTTACTTGGGCAAACCAGATAATCCTTTTTTAAGTAATTTAATAAGATAAAGTCAGTAGCCCTACAATGGCATTCAGACAAAACAAACAAACAAGCATGCATAGGTATGACATCTCTTTTAGGTTCCTCATAATTCTGGAATTGTTTACAGTTGCTTCTGAATTGGTTGTAGTTGTGTATAATCTTTAGTGTTAATTTGATGGGAAATATAATGAATTGATGTTGAAATTCTCAGGAAGTAAGATCTTCCTTCAGTTTATTTGTATACTCAAAGTCTTCCATCACCTATAATTTATCTTAATAAAAACTGTCCTTTAAGTGGGGAAATTTTTTATTAATTTTCACAACTAACATTAACCAAATGATGAAAAACTGCTTATATTTGTCACTATTCTCAATAATCCATGGGAAATATATAGTAGACAACAATAAATTCATTCTTTTGCGTGCATTTAGGATTGATCTGGATGCTTACATAATAAATATCATATCAAATCTCACTTAATTTGACATTGATTATCTATATACATAATACCCTGCATACATATGAGAGAGTCACTCAATCATACAGTGACCTTTTGCTTGGAGTTTGTAAGGATTTTTTCTCCCTCATAAAGGCTCAGCAAAGCTGACACTACATAAATGTACATGTTATTGGTCCATGACTTCTATTTGTCAACCTAAATTGTGTGCAATAATGTCTGTGAGTCAGTGAGTGTACAGAAGCATGATTCTATAAAAGCCAGGTTTCTCAGGAGCTCATACCCATTGTTAAGTGGAATTTGAAAACAATCTGCTTTCCTTGACTTTTGTCCCTGTGATGGGATGTATGGAAAAGCACCTACCTGTGAATAAAAGGCTCTATTTTTACTTTTTTTTTTTTTTTTTTTTGAACTAGTGTCTAGTCCTAGGCACCAACCAGTTGGCTGGGACCCTGACCACCTGCTTAAATGCTTTTGCAAACTCTTTATCTCTAGGTCTTGACCTTCTTCTCTGGTGCCTTTTTTTTTTCCTTGAATAGATTTGAGAGTCTTTTCAAATAGACATTCTCTGGAGTGTTAAGGCAAAGATGGAATTAGCCAGGCCTCAGTACATTAGATGTCCCTTAATCACTAACTATGGGCAGATGAAAATCAATATTGTAACATTTTCTCAGGGATACTTTTTGTAAAACCTTTTGGAAACAAATACTGTTGTCCCAGTTGGTTTTGTCAAGCCCTACAATGATCAGGTTTCAGTAATGTAATCTTTTCATAGACCTTTCCAATGATCAGTTTTCACAATTTTACATAATTTTATGATTTTCTATTTTTTATGATTTTAGAGAAAGAAGGAAGGAAAAGGGGTAAACAGGACTAAAAATATTCAAGTGAAAATACCAGGCAGATAGATTTAAAGTATGGAAGTATAATATTTTTCTAACACTAGCAAAATGAAACAGAAAAAAATAAGGATTATTGAATGTTTGGTTGGAGAGCAGGAAAATTTGCTCTGGAATCCTCCTCAATGGAACTGTTATTGGTACATATGAAGTAAGTGCATTTATTTCGTATACATTTTAATATTTAGAGCCCAAAGAGTAGAAAATACTTTTAGATATCAGGATTTAGGTATTAGATATTAGGATTTTAGATATCAGTTTTAAGGTGCATCCCTACCTTCTAAGCCATGAACTCCTTTTAAGAATTATACTAATGTGCATATGTTAATGTTCACATATTTATATACTTTAAAAACCATGAGACTATAAAGATAACTTAGATCAGGCACACAGTTATGATTTTGTTAATGGCAATGATAATTTATAATTATCAATGTTCCCCTGAGCGTAAAGCCCTCTAAACTCATCTCCCATCAACCTCCTCATTCTTTGGAATGTTCCAGCCACAGGAGGTTTCAGTTGTGGATAGACTCCCTTCAATTTCCAACCTCAGGATTTCCCACATGCTGATCTTTTTGCTTAGTGGATTTCTCCCTCTATTGGTGGCTAGATCCACTCTATATTGCAGTGTTCAGGTGAAATATCACCTTTTGAATGACAGCTTCTATTAGCCTTCCCCCTTCCCCAGTCACCAAATCCTGCTTACATTGGAATTGTCTCACATGTTATTCTTTTTATACAGGTCTGAACCAACCCCTTGCCAGTCACTGATGCTTTTACTTATGTATGATTTGTCTCCCCTGCTTTAATGAAAGGCAATAGGGATACAAACCAGGGCTTTTTGTTGCTATTTTGACAAACACCATATACTTGTACTTAGTTTCTAAAATGGCTGTATTAGTCTATTCTCATGCTGCTGATAAAGACATACACAAGACTGGGTAATTTATAAAGGAAAGACGTTTAATTGACTCACAGCTCCACATGGCTGGGGAGGCCTCACAAACGTGGTGGAAGGTGAATGAGGAGCAAAGTCACGTCTTACATGGCAGCAGGAAAGATAGCTTGTATAGAGGAACTCCCAATTATAATACCATCGGATCTCATGAGACTTATTCACTATCACAAGAATAGCACGGGAAAGACCACCCCCGTGATTCAGTTACCTCCCACTGGTCCCTCCCATGACACGTGGGAATTATGGGAGCTACAATTCAAGATGAGATTGGGGTGGGAACACAGCCAAACCATATCAATGGTATTTGGTGCAAGGGTGATCTCAATAAATATTTTTATATCAATGAATTTGTGATGTACTTGAATTGCCCCTCATATGACATCAAAATTTCTCACTTAGATGCTACTGGGATATTGGGCCAGATAACTCTTTGTCATTAAAATTGTAAGGATGCTTAGAAGCAGCCCTAGCTTCCACCCATTAGATTCCAGTAGTACTTGGCAGTTGACATAATCAAAAACGTCTTGGGACATTGCCAAATGTCCAGGGCCATGGCTAGGGAGGGCAAAATTATCACTGAATGAGAAACATTGTTATAAATCCACACAATAAAATAAATGAAAAAATAAAGCAAGATATCTGAGTTTTCATTTGTCTCTGTCTCCTCCAAATGACTGAGATTGTTGATACAGCATACAGGGAAATAATGAATTTGGATCAGCCAACCTAAAGGAAAGTTTGAGTTGTGACCTAACTTTTATAATACTGAATAATAATAATAATAATGGTAATAGAGCACTAGCATTAGTCAACATTATTGGATGCATAAATACACTAAATTCCAGCCACTGAGTCCATGCTTCCTAGATATTAAATTATTTAGTCTTAGATTACTCCGCAAAGAAGAGACTGCTATCCAGTGTTACTGATGACAATGAAAAATAGATGGTCAGTTTAACTGACCCAAGTGAAAAACCTACTGAGTGAAAATTACTGGGACTCACACAGGATGACTGCAGGGCCTGCTGCTGAGCTATCCAATATGGCAGCCACTAGCCAAGCCACTAACCGTCATATAGCTATGACTACAAATGTAGTTTTTGAAATGAGATTTGATGTAAGTTGAAAATACTTGATAACTTGATATAAGCTTAAGAATTAGATAAAAAAATTTAAAATATTTGAGTATGTTTTATATTGATGACATATTTAAAGGGTAATGTTGGGTTAAAGAAAAACATATAATTCAAATAAATGTCTCTTGCTTTTTGAAAACTTTTCCTATGTGGCTTTATCATTTCTATCCTAAGCCTCCTTTTCTTCTACACTTTGGGTATAATAATAGTAATGGTGTCTATAGATTAGTTGTGAGGTTTCAATGATATGCTACATATGAAAGGCTTCATGAACTGTAGAACTCCCTCCAAAGATTGTCTATTTATTTAAATAACATTCAATATGAAATACAATTTTCCAGACGTTATATGATTTAGACAATCAAATAACATTCTAATTCTCATGAATGTGTGTTCCCAAAGGTCAGATAAGGTTGTAAATATTCATAACAAAAAAGATAACTTAGAAAATAAAAATCCATAAATTATGTTTCCATCTATAATTTGAAAATAATGGGACAGTTCAAGATGAGCCTGGGCAACACGGCGAAACCTTGTCTCTATTAAAATTACAAAAATTATTTGGGCATGGTGGCATGAACCTGTAATCCTAGCTACTCATGAGGCTGAGGCAGGAGAATCACTTGAACCCGGGAGGTGGAGGTTGCAGTGAGCCAAGATCACACCACTGCACTCCAGCCTGTGGCACAGAGTGAGACTCACTCTCAAAAATAATAATAATAATAACAATAATAATAGTCATAATAATAATGAGACAAGATATGGGATGATCTAAAATCCTCTAAATGTATTGTACTATACATTCGGAGTTGGAGGTAGATTTAATTTACTTATTAAATGTGTCATTTGTAAATGGACTGTATTTTAGACACATGTGTATATATATTCCTGAAAATGTAAAATATAATACTACTCCCAAAGGAAATTTATTACTGATAAAATACTTTTTTTCTCCAGTAATAGTTTTGCTCATTGTGGATTATGCAATTAATTAGTTATGGTTTATTGTGCTGAATTTGCATGTTCATTCTCCTGGTAAAAGGCTCGAGCTAAGAGGTGGTCAAAAATACTTGTAAAATGTGAAATTTAAATTTTAAACAGCACACACCTTTAAACTTGTTCTAAGAAATATGCAGGATTATTATTGGTTTTATTTTTCTTACCAATATTAAAGGTAACCTGGAGCTGAAACCTAATTAATTGAAAAAAGCATAAGCACATGCCTTGCCCTATGAGTTCTGGAGCCCAGCACCACAGCAGCAGACCTGATGGGCATACGTTAAATATCTAATCAAAAACTGTCACAAATATATAGGTACGTGATTAGTGTGCTCAAGAAAATTCTATATGAATTTTGAAATCTTTCCAAATACATGCTTTTAAACAATTTAATTTGAATCATGCACTATTAATAATGAAAGTTAGGTAAAAATAGTACAGAAAAGAGAAAAAATGCTTTTAAAGAGTCAAAACAATGCTGTTAATTCTTAGACAGTAATTCCTCTGAGCAACGGCCTTTAATATAAAGATAAATATTACAAAAAAAGCTACTGCCTTTAAATTTTAATACTTTATCACAAGGTATTTAAAGTAAATTACAAACTAAAATGGTGGGGGGACCAATTCAGAGGTTAATATTCAGCATATACTGGACATTCAGGACATAGGCTGTAGTCGAATATTTTTTTTTGTGTCACATTTCTAATGACCCTAATTTCTATCTTTAAATACAGGATCTTTTAGCAAAGCAAAAAATTGGGAGTGTCCATTGAGACTTGATACCATCCTCTTTAGTATGCGAGCAGACATGTAATCTACCAAATTTGTACAAGAAAGAAGAATAAATGCATGTGTTTCTATGGTCAGGAGCTAAAGGTTCTTTACCTATTCCTAATCTATTTTAAGAATTTGAGAGGTCAGTTCAAAATAGATCTATGCATAGATCAGGAATGCAAAATGTTATACTAAGGTTGTCACTCCACACATAATAACATTAAATGCAAGTCAGATAGTTTTCGGAGGTTCTCGATCTACAGTGCTTTCTGGCTTAGTTCTTATAATTTGTCAAATTAGATTTTTTGTCGAAAAAAATTGTCCTCAATTTAGGTTCCCCTTTATTTAATTTGAAACAGAAACAAACATATTTATTGTAAAATTATGACTTTGTTTTCTAATAAACATTGTTTCCTTTTGTTAGCTGAAAGAAACAGTTCTTAAACTACAATTACAGATGCCAGGCTCACATATGAAGAGGTTTGGGATCATAGGTCTTCCTGTCTCTGAGTGAAATATGCTTGTAATATTCAATTTTATCTTTTAATAACAGTGAGTTCATCAGCATGTACACCTTTTGTTTACTTTTGTATCACATTTTCAATATGTTTTAAATTAAATGAATGACAATTGCTTTTTCTTTTCTTTTTCTTTCTTTGTCTGTCTTTTTTTACTCTAAATCTTTTGCCCGGCAGAATGACCATTAAAGGGTGCTTACTCTGGGGGAAACGTGGTGGGTTGTCATTGACATCTGTCAGCGTGATGTTCACAGTGGTTGTCCCCGATAAGCCTCCCATCTGGCCGCCCATGTCTTTGGCCTGGATGACCACTTGGTATTGCTCTCTGTTTTCTCTGTTCATGTTCGGTAAAGCAGTCCTGATGATACCTTGAGAAAATATAAAAAAACTTCCATTATCTTCACTGAAATCTCCATTGTTATTTTATTAAGTCCACAAAAAGTATTTTTAAGCTAGTGATTTTTTTGAAAGATACGTTTTGATACTCGTTTTTATTGTCTAGAAATTATAAAAGTGATTCTGCGGAAATATCATTTGTATTGTGTTACCCTTTCCTAGCAATACCACATGTGCTTTGAGTGGCCTATGCTTATATGTTCAAATATCTAAACAGAGGTTTCCATTAGTTCACTCTATCATTTAACTTTGAGTTCTTATATCTTTAAGTGTTGTGTCTTCACTCATCTGTGAGTATTAATGTTAAGGTTTTGTTCTTATTCTCCCATGGTCTTTCTACTGATAAAGGTCATAAAGATGATCAAATGAACAAACAGCAATTCATGATTCCTGACCTGTTTCAGGCTCCACAGAGAAATAGGGCTGCCCTTGAAGTATGCTGTAAATGACTCTGGCGCTGTTCCCATATGAAGGGTCATCGGCATCTGTAGCTGTGACTTGCACCACAGAAGTACCTGAAGTATCCAAATTCAGCTTAGTTCTGCACAGTACCAGAAGGAGGAGCAAAAGCACTGGTTTTCATTGAAGACTTGAATGATTTCTGGCTTTAATCATGACCTCTTAAAGAAACTTTCATATATAATTTGGATGAATATGTAGATATATAGTGTTATTACAGGTAAACTCTGAGTTCAAATACATAATATTTATTTAGTCAACATGTCTATTTTTATGCATGCAATAAATAATTCTAGCATACAGAATATAATAAATACAGTCACTTTACAAATGCTCAAGTTGGATATTGAAATTCATTTTCACATAATAGATTTGTTTTGTGTAAAGGGCATATCTAATCACACAGGAGTAAGTATGTTCTTCTTCCCCCTCTCCACTAATTAACTCTAAAAATAATTAACATCTGCTCTAGAATACAATTTTATGAATAGATTAAATTCTAAATTTAGAAACAATTCAACATGATCCCAAGTTCCATGAACTACTAAAATCTATTTAATAAAGTTCAAGATATTTAAAAGGACTTTATAGTGAGATGACTGCCAGAAGTTCTTGGGATTTAATGAAGTAAATATTAAATAACAATCCCAGAACAATGCTTTTGAGAAATGTAGAGTCTGAAAATGTACAACTATAACTGTTACAAGTAAAAAAAAGCTTTAGATTTGTTTAATCAGTTTAAACAACTTCACACATATTTGAGAAGTGTCTATTCTCTTACCAAATCCAAAAATATGACTCTAAAAATGTTATCACTGTTCTCTGATGCTTTTCATTGCCTGTCATTCTATATCTAATTTAAAAAATTAATGCAGTTTTAATTTTCTTGGCCTACAGATACATCTCCCATTTATGTACATTGAAAAGAGAAATTCTACTTTCTTGAATGTTATATTTCTACCTTTTTTCATGCCTTATGTTTTACAGGTTCCACAATCTAACTTGGTAATTCTGTATCAGTATGTATTTAACCATAGGTTTTCAACTGGTTTTTTTCGAAAATAAGATTTCAAAGAAGTTGAAAGATACCAGCAGAGTTTTATACATAATAATTATAATGATAGGATTTTTTTATGATGTTTAATAAAAAAATTCTAATCAATTTCCTCAATTGAAATATGTAGATAGTACATATTCCAGATGAAATTTTTCGGTAAATTATGACTAGAGTATATGTGAAGATTATATAACCTCTATGGTATTCTAAATGTATTTATATTATATTTGGGATCAGAAATTTATACAACTTTTATCTGAATCCAAGGGACAAAAAAATTATTTTCACAATTTTCTACTGAAGTTCAATGATATTTTCTTGATTTTTGAGGAGAGTGTCTACCTATATGTATTATAAAGATTCACAAATCTGTAGGAAGTGTAAATTGCATTGATCTTTTTTTTTCTGATTGTCTCCTAAAAGAAAAAATAAATAAATATGTACTCATGGTAGCAAATCAAAGAGGATTTCAATTAATTGATTATACTATTATAAGAATTTCTTGATTTTTAAAACACTTTTTGAATACCATCATAAACGCTGTAAATGAACTTACCTACAACAGACATTTCGGGAACACTAGCTGTATAGATTTCTTCTGGGAACGTTGGCTCATTGTCATTGATATCATGAATTTTGATCACAAACTCTGACTCTGGCTCTACTGGCCTCAGAGTTCTTCTGTTAATAGCTTGTGCGCGTAGAGTATAAAAGGCCTTTTCCTCCCTATCAATTCGCCTTGTGGCATGAATATCACCTGTTTTTTCATCAATAATAAAAAGAGTACCAGCTCCATCTCCAGATAAGATATATTTGAGTGATCCATCTCCTTTATCTTGGTCTGAATGTAGCTAGGGGAAATAAAAAAGAGTATATCCATGATCATGTATAAAGGTGCAGGATGCTGAAAGAATTCGCAGAAGGTCTTTCATGTCTCATCACTGAGCAACGGGGTCGGCTATCCTACTTCTTGAAATGAGAGCTGAATAAGTTTGATCACACGCATTTATACACTTTAAAGAATATGAATAGCCTTTTATATATCAGGATACTTTTTATTCTAAATGAAAAAAATGTAATAAAATTAAACCAAGCTCCTGTCTTTGCTTGGTAAATATTCATTTTTATGGGCAAATAAATTCTGTCCCAGATATAAGATATCAGTCTTGATAGGTGGGTGTAAACATTGCTCTCTCATCTCTTTCTGTGAATGAAAGATTATTTTATTCTTAAATGGTGCAAAACAAAATCTGCTATAAACTTGTTATTAGCTATCATATTTTTGTTGATGAATTAGTAATGTCTTAAGAACTGTAAGACAAGCAAAGCTGTAGGAGACAAAGTTCTTACTTTAAAAACAACATACATTATTTTTTGGTTTATACAATAGACAGCGATTACCCCACAAATATTTGTAGTACTCAGAGCAGATAGATATCTACATAACACATGTCTGTAAATTTTAAAGTTATAAATAAAATTAATGAACTATAAAATAAAATATGTTCTAGCCTCCTGCCTTGTCAAATCTACCTTTTTAAAAACCTACAAGGACAAATTCTGTGCAGGAACAAGGCAATACAAGGCCTGTGTCTTGCTTCTTTTCCTGAGCCTGTAACATAACCACACTGAAGCTTTGAGAATCACTTCATCACATCAAAGAGCTTTGCATGCCTTCATGTGGACATCTCAGCCCAATGTACACACCATCCTAGTGCAAATGCCAGTCCAGGAGTTCATGTGTCATGAACAAATTCCATCTAGGTTATTTTTCAACAGATGCCCTTAAGGCTAGCCAACAGGCTTAGGAGTACATATACTACTGTACTAGTGACTGAGTCTAACCTTTGGGCAATTAACTTAAAGAAGAGCCTCTTCTAAAACCTAGAAGCAAGCTCCGGAATGTTTGGGCAGGAAATAATGGGCCCAATGACCTTGAGAATTCTGGAAATGGACAGGCAGTTGCCAGATGGGTATACCTCCTGCCCTATATAGAATTCTTACTCTGAAAAGTAAAGCGTGGCCACAGGAAGAACAGATCTTGGCTTTGAGAAACATAAGAAGTGTAAGGTTTTTCTTTCAGTGTTACCACCCTACCAATAAACATTTTTACATGCTAGAATCACAGTTTTATTATGTGCAATGAGATTATGCTTCAACAAATTTTTATGTTGTTACATGTTTGATAAGAAATATTTTTAAAACTGTAGATCTTAATTTCTACAAAAATATTTATTATAAGACATCATTATAGACATGTTTTATGTTTTAATATTTACATAAAATCTAGACATAAATCAGAATAGGCACACTGATCTACAGCCTACAGAATTGAGAATTCGAGACAATAATCTTCAATTATATGAAAAAATACATAGAGTTACGTATTTACCTAAATAAGTTTCATTTTTGCTCTTTACTTACACCAACACTCATTTTCATCTAATTAAGTGTAGAATTTTAAACTAATTACGTCCTATTTAAGAAGACTTTTGTTTATTTAATTGAAAGGTTCTTTTTTACTTATGAGAACTTATTTCAATGAACTTGCCCCTGAAAACATTTTTATGTAGACACCAAAAATATTTAAAATAAATAAAATTTTATGTGTATTTATCTTTAATGCATGCTATTACTTGTTATCACTGGGTCTATAAAAGCAGTCTACTTTTTGGTTAATGGAAGTAGTAATTAGCACCTAGCCATCAACTCTGGATAAAACTACATTTCTGGATAAACTACTTATTAATACAGATATAATAGATTAAGAAAACCCCAAATGGGCATATACTTTGGAGAAAAAGATAAAGAAGTCAGGTAACAAATAGTTTCTTACTACATTTTTAGCTATTCATAAACAATAATGTAAGGTTGAGAAACTCAGGAAATAACTCCTTTTAACTAAAAAGCTTTCCGAAGTAACATGTGACTTTTATCCAGGAAACCACTCTTAAAAAAAGTCACAAGACTGATGCTTTACAGGAACTGAAAATGTACATAGTTGCTGGGAAACTTTCCAATTATATGCATGTGCAACACAGTGGCAATTTTCCAAGTTACAGATTTAAGCACTGCATATCTCTTGTTCTATCTGAGAATTAAAATAATTCAAGAAAAATTATTGATATTATCACTAATTTGATGAGCTGTTATGGTTTACAGTAGACAGTTATATTTATTCTCTATGCATTCAATAATTTTAATTGAGAAATATTTGCTTATTCTCCTAAGAATTGTGTACTTCTTAATCCAAATCAACAATTCCAGTCAGTTTCTGTGGAAGATCCAAACATTTGTGAAATGGAAATTCACAAGACAGCCCCTAAAAAAGCCCCCAGGAATCAATTAGGATTTGTTAAGCTTACAATACCTAAATTATCAAAGAAGGAGTAGAGGTTTGAACCTGGGAAATTTTTATATGTTATTAATTTTGCATTTTAGAAAGAACACTGCATAAATATAGAATATAGATTTGGAATGAAGAAGGATCTAAGGCAAGATAGAGGTCATTAAAACCCTTTCTCCTATTCTAATCAGTTAGACATGCAAAAAAGCTGCTAAGATGGTGAGATTTTAATTTTTAGAAAGCTCAGTTTTGGAATATAAATCACAGCAGGATTTATTATCTTCACTTATACTACAGAGAGTGAAAATTAAATCTTATAATTGGACCACATACTGTGGGAGTTTCTGTTGGATTAGAAAATTGAACATGGTAGTAGGGAATCAAAGAGATGGAGTTTGCAAGTAGACTGTGGTTTTGAGAATCAGAAAATGAAAGGATTTCTACCTTCACCAATGGGAATATAATTAAGAGAAGCAAATTACAACTAAGAATTTATACAGTTTGATCCTAAGACGACAGAATTACTATACGATTTACTTGAATCACTAGAGCTTGTACTAATGATAATGTATATTTAAAAAGTCACAGAGGGAAACAAATGATCACTAGCACTAGAATGAAGGGCAAAAAGGACTGTATTTGAGGGCATGACATTAGCCTATGTTTAATGAAAGATGGTCTTTGAAAACATATTTGATACATGGACAAGTAAAGAAACTACAAGAGATATTCACTGTAATAATGAGATTATGTGGATAATCTAATTGTACATAAAACTGTGATCCTGGCATGTAAAAATGTTTATTGGTAGGGTGATACAACTAAAAAAAAACCTTACACTTCTTATGTTTTTCAAAGTCAAGATCTGTTCTTCCTGTGGCCAAGCTTTACTTTTCAGAGTAAATAAAGGAGGCAGAAAGATGAATTTCCAGATCTCCTGAGACTTGGGGAATAGCTCCTCTTCTAGATGAAACTGATGGGATACAGGAACTAAGTAATAACAGGTCTATTGATATTGATGATTTCCTAACAGTTACAGAAACAGACCAAAGGACAAAGTTCTTGAGTTATAGTCCCCTTCCTAAGCTTCCCATCTTCTTTTTAAATTTCTCTTTAGTTTTTTTAATTATCTCTTATTCTGCATAATTTTTCAACAGTTGTTCTGGTATTACCACCTTCCCTCATTCTTTGTGCGTCTGCGGCACAATTTTACTTCCTATTCCAATTCATTGACTGAGTAATGATCAGACAAGGGTTAGTCTTTATAACTGCAGCTTTCTCATGATTCTTCCTTTTTGTTTTGGATATCAGGTAACAACACTTGGATTTAAAAAACAAACATTTTATTGAACGAAAGAGTTTACATTGCTGAGAAGTTGGGATCAATGGGTCACACGCCAAAAAACTTAAAGCATCTACTTTGAAAGATATGACTTATATATTGATTTGTGTTTTACTATTTTATTATGTGAGACATTAAGTTTTCTTTAAACATAAAAAAATCAGATTATTGTGGTTTTAGTTCCTCAGTAACACCTGTTCTTCAGTGTGAAACATTTGTGTCACACATTTTTAAAAAGAATTTTATGTTAATACTGACCTTTTCTTTCCTTGAGAAAAGCCTATTAAAAATTCACAACCTGCTGTGTTCCTTGTAAATTCACAACCAGATAAAGGACATGGCAAGATACATGACAACTAATGAAAATAGAACAACTGGTACTGCACTGCACATTTAAAAGTCATTTTCCCATTGTTTAACTTTTTTATTCAGACATTTAATTGTAATACATTATTACATTTGTTTATATTGAGTAATTTTAATATTTACAACTAAATGATAGATTGAATTTAAAGAAAAATTTAAACAAATTTTTCAATGAATGCCTGGTCACTTGAAATGTGTCAGATTTCTGCTAATTTTATAACATTTCTTGTAAAACATCTTTGTATAAAATGAAATTTATAAGTTAAAGGGGACTTACAGCCTATCTAGTTTAAGACCATTTTAAAAAATTATTTTTAAAGAGGAGGAAAAGAATATCCAATCAATTGTTTATCCAGTGGAAATGAAATAAGCTTACACGTAAGTATATGGACAGTGTTGGTAAAACATTTTAGTTTTTATCTGTTCAGTCTGCTATAGCAAACTACAATCATGTGCCACATGAAAACATTTCAATGACAGATTGCATAGACAACAGCAGTCCCATAAGTTTATAATACTGTATTTTTATTGTATATTTTCTATGTTTAGATATACGAAGACTTATCATTGTGTTATAATTGCCCACAGTACTCAGTAAAATAACATGCTGTACAGGTTTGTAACCTAGGAGCAATAGGCCCTACCATATAGCCTAGGTATGTAGAAGGTTATACCATCTAAGATTGTGTGAGTACATTCTACAATGTTTGCACAATGACAAAATTGCCTAATGATGCATTTCTCAGAAGTTGAAGCTATGCATGATTGGACCACAGACTGGGTGGCTTATAAGCAACAGAAATATACTTCTCACTGTTCTGGAGACTGGGAAGTCCAAGACCAAGGTGCCAACAGATTCAATGTCTGGTAAGGGCCCTCTTTCTGGTTTATAGATGATACCTTCTGGCTGTGTCTTCACATGGCAGAAGGGCAAAAGGTCTTCATTGAGGATCTCTTGCTGGAGCACTAATGCTATTCATGAGATTTCCACCTTCACACCTAAGCGCCTCACAAAGGCCCCACCTCCTAAAACCATCACCTTAGGAGTTAGGATTTCAACATATAAATCTTGGTGGTGAGGCCACAAATATTCACACCATAGCAAATCTTTAACTCTTAATATCGATTCATTTTTAAGTTACATTAAATGAAGAAATATTACCAAAAAAATCAATCTACAAAGTACAGGAAATTTAAGTAATTTGTTACCAAAAGGATAACAGATAAAATATTTTACTTTTATTTTCACCATTGGCTAGAAGAAAAATAAAGAAAAAAAGTTGAATAGTGAAAAAACCATATCTATCAGGAGGCACTTATATTGCTTATATTATTGTGAGATTATTTCTCATTCAGAATATTGATACCATTTTAGATATTGATAATTGTTGGTATTTGGTTTCATTCCAAAAACTGGAAAAGTAGAGATAATTAGAATTATATTTGTAGCACTACATTAGAATTATGTTTGTAATAGTTAGACTAGTTTTTAGAAAGATAAATTTCGATGAATGAATCACAAGGATTATAACATTCAGTATCTGAGTCAAACAATTTATGCTAAGTTTTTACATACATTAACCTGAAAATAACGAAATTATTAAATAGATTTTTCAATTTACAGTGATAATTTGTGCCTGATTTTCTTTCAAACAGCCAAGGTATTTTATATTTGTTGAAAAAAATGTAGAATGTGGCAAATACGCCATCCTCTCCTGGTGGTATCATTAGTATTCTGCTCTAATTGCTCCAGTTGATAAACATAATATTAAATGGAAAATAAAACACTGAATCAAATAACTTTAAATTTGCACCCAACAACAACAACAACAAAAAAACACAGGTGAAAAATTGTCTGGTATCAGAAAGCAGCTGAAAGCATGTCAAAGCCAGCAAACACAATCTGGTCAGAAATAAATAAATAGTTATTCATGTTGTTGGGGCTGAAGAAAAATGAGGAGAATGGGAGAAAACCTTGAATTAAATGGAGTATGGGAAGATTAGAGAGTAATGCTGGCAATATAGTCCTCCAAGTGTAGTTTGCTCCCTCCAGAGCACTGTTTCAATATTAATGTACATAAAAACAAGACCAATTTCATGAATCTCGATAAAACAATTCTTCCTTCAAAAGTGGAAGGCCGGGTGTGGTGGCTTACGCCTGTAATCCCAGCACTTTGGGAGGCCGAGGAAGGCGGATCATGAGGTCAACAGATCGAGACCATCCTGGGCAACATGGTGAAACCCCGTCTCTACTAAAAATACAAAAATTAGCTGGGCATGGTGGTGCATGTCTGTAGTCCCAGCTACGTGGGAGGTTAAGGCAGGAGAATCTCTTGAACTGGGGAGGCGGAGGTTGCAGTAAGCCAAGATCACGCCACTGCACTCCAGCCTGGAGACAGTGCAAGACTCTGTCTCAGCAACAACAACAAAAATGGAAATGGAGAGGGCAAATAAAGCTTAACAATGAAATAGATTATAAAAACAACTATAATAATTTGCCCATATATATGATTTAAATTGATAAGTACTTTTCTGAATAATTTCTTTCGGGGACCAGAGGCAAGTTTTGAAGATTTAAATGATGGGTGGGCACATATAGCTGCATAAATTAGTTCTTGGCAAAAAAGTTAAGTGGTTCATTCTTCACATTTGACAGGGTTCCCCAGAGATTTCCTCCAAGAGGGAAAACGTCAATAGGATCTGGAGTAAATAACTAGGGATTCCTCTTTCCCATTTAGTCTTCCAAGTCTGCAGCCTATTGAAAGTTGGCCTTGTGCTTGTGGCCACTTCTGACTAAGGTGTCCAATCTGGGATGGTCCTGGAGATGTAGGAGCTCTCTTTGAAGTCAACTTGAATTACTCAAGAACCTACAAGAGATCAGACTTCTTCATGAGAATGCTATATAATTCTAGAAGGCAGGTCCTGCTAAAAATGTTGCTATGTCACTTCTTGAAGCATTTCAACTAGGATATATTTATTTGCTAGCATTGGAAAGATATTAAGATTACACTAAAGGCATTTATTTATTTCAGAAACACACTTTCACAGGCATTATCTACTTCCAAGGCCAGAAATTTAAAAAATATATTTACAGGCATTAACTGCTTCAAAGGTCAACAATTTAAGTACTTAAGTTAACGAACCCTCCTTCTAAGTTCTTAAGTGGTATATAAAACACAAAATAGACACATTATTTCTCATGTATTAGCTTATCACTTGTAAAGAGAGTTATTGAGAAAATGATTTAGAGAAAGTTCATATTATTTTAGAAGCCAGGACTCTTCTTATATTTTTGAAGATCACTGAATTATGAAAATTATCTCCTTGTGGTCTGAAAATGACATTGAACGTTTTTACACCTTATTTTTTCCCCACAACTTGGAGAAGTCTTCTTAAGAATCTTGGATTTACAATATAGGGATATATGTACACAGGTGTCTAGGAAGTTGTTAAGTAAATTTACAACATTTAAAAGCAAGAGATTCATTTAAAAGAAGATCACAGAAAAATTAGTAGGGAAATATAACTTCTTTGCTATGAGCTATACAAATATCTGAGAATCATTCTTTCCTCCTTTTCACCAAGAAAGGCATAATGACAGAGAATTTTAAACGCAGGTGAGGGCTCAGTGTAAGTATTCACTAAGGAGCCTTTCAGGCCTGGCATGTGGCTCATACCTATAATCTCGGTGCTTTGGGAAACCAAGGCAGAAGGATCTTTTGAGGCCAGGAGATCAAGACCAGTCTAGGCAACACAGACTCCTCTCTACATTTTTTTTTCTTTTAATTAGCCAGTCATGGTGGCATGCCTGTAGTCCCAACTACTTGGGACTCAACTGGGACTCATAGGCAGGATTGCTCGAGCCCGTGCATGCAAGGTTACAGTGAGGTATGATCCTGCCATGACATTCTGGGAGACAGAGTAGAACTCTGTCTTCAAAGAAAATAAAAAAAGGAAATATTTCTGTAACTGATTGAATGAAACTAAAGAAGTGATAGAAATTCAAAGGGTGGTATTTTCGGACTTTAAAAGTTTGGAGACTTTGCTACAGAGACAATATTTGAAGGTCTGTGCCTCTAAGCCTTCTAAAGGTGCTTTTATTTTTCAGAAGGTATAGGTTGACAAATACCTGACTGGATTCCTGAAGGAGAAGGACTAGGCAGCAGACTACGGTCTCGAGGGACTATGGTCAAAGAGAGGAAAGAGATAAACGAAGTTGGATCTTTACATTTATTTGATTTTTGAGACACGAACTAAAATGAGCATTTTTTTAAAAGGCTATGAATGCTATCCTTGAAAAAACTTGTGTGTGTGTGTGTGTGTGTACAAAATACACAAACAATGCTAACACAGTATCAGGGGGTACAAAGATCCTCTGAAATATAGCCAAGCAACCCTAAATTAAAATAAAAATAAGATTCTTGTTCTAGGTTAACTTTCTGTGTTTTCCCCAATAAAAAAGAATTAAGAAATCAAGATCAACGCTCTCACAAGGAAAAGGGATTGCTCGATTGACTGAGAGATATTCATATCTTCATCAGATGAATATACCTATCCCCAAACATATCAATGTCATGACTCTGTGATTTGCGTCCTCCCTCATGACATTGATTTATCCACCCTAAAACTTCGTACTCATCTATAAAGATCCTATTTATCCAATTATACTTTTTACATGTGTGTGTATATGTATATACAATAGTATACAAAATTAAATATTTAAATTGCTTATGTATATATGTATATATAACTGAGCATGTACATGGGTATACATATATAATTTGTGTGCACAAATATATACACATATAAACTCTTAACCTGTAACAATTTTGAACTATTATTTTTGTAATTTTTTCTGAAACTAAAAGTATAGTTATTTGAAAATAAGAACCAAGTTTTCTACTCTTGTGGACTCCAAACTTCTCACAGCACATAGTACATTTTCCTTTTATCTATTTTATTTATTTATAAAAGAAAATGGACATCAGAGCCAGATGTCAAACAAATAAATAAAAAAGATGAGCAATGATTTTGGAAAGCCTGAATATTTTAAATGAAGTGAAAGAGAGCCAGAAGTTCATAATGAAACATGGGGTCAACAATTACTCTATGTTAAAAGTATAAATCTGCACAAAGAAAATTTTAGCCTTCAAACTGAAAAAGATTGGGCTGTAAGATATACAGGACTTCCAGTTAACTATGAAATTAGATCAGTGGACTATGTATACATGGATTACCAGAGGACGATTTAAAATTTTTAGTGAACTGCTAATAATATAAATGCTAATCCAAATTTGCCTTTGAAACTGTAAGTTAGATCATTGTAAACATCTGTAATTTATCTTAAGTGTAGGATGAGGTAGGTAAGCAACAGCAGGCCAACGTTCCCACTGTCATCATGTAGAACAGCTAAATAAATCACAGAAAATCATATTGCCAGGGCCAAATTGCTATGTAAACAAGAACTGAATAAACTGAAACCTGAGAGAAGAGAATTGTACAGATGTGAGCTGATTACTGGCAGCTGCTTTTTCCCGAGGGAATTTGCCAATTCTTGGCCAGGGGCTTGAAGGTGAGTATCTGTAACTGGCCAAGGAAAGGGCACTTCTAGGAGAAAAAAAAATAAGAGTTTTTATGGTACTGGAGTAAAAATATTGGTAAACTGAAGGTCTTCAAGCACATTGCCAGTCTTCCCCAAAAGACTTTTGTTGAATAGAGTCTGTAGGAGGCTAAAGGGCAAGGCTGAAAGCTTCTGAAAGCTGTAATATAATTACCCACATTTCCAGAGAATTGTGGTTCTTAGATTCAATTTTGTTTTTTAAGTAAAGAGGTGAAAGTTGGAAGTCCTCCAGAGATTATGGAATTGAACTTGAGGATTTACAGAGACTTATTTTTTAACCTAAGGGCATTCAACAATTCTCAGTGCCTCTAGAAACTAAACATACACACTGGTCCCTTGACAAATGGCCATCGCTCAGGAGAAGAGAAAGTAGAAGATACACTGCTCTTCATGTCAAGCTTAAGTGGCAAAACACACAGACAAATTCCTCCTGGTGACTTCTGTCAATTGTTGAAGAAGCGTAAAGCAAACAAATGTTAAGAAATTGGGTCATGCAATTGTCAGGGTTGGCAAGTCCAAAATCTACAGGGAAGGGCAGCAGATTCAAAATTCATGTAAGCGTTGATATTCCAGTCTTGAATCAGAAATCCACAGACTAGGCCACCACATGGGAACCTCAGCAGGGTTTCTTTTCTCTTTTTTTTTTCTGAGACTGAAGCTTGCCCTGTCACCTAGGCTGGAGTGCAGTGGCGTGATTTCAGCTCACTGCAACCTCCACCTCCCAGCTTCAAGCGATTCTCCTGCTTCAGCCTCCTGAGTAGCTGGGATTACAGGCACCTGCCACCATGCCCCATGTATTTTTAGTAGAGATGGGGGTTCACCATGTTGGCCAGGCTGGTCTTCAAACTCCTGACCTTGGGGGATACACCTGCCTTGGCCTCCCAAAATGCTGGGATTACAGGCTTGAGCCACCGAGCCCAGCCAAGGGAACCTCAGCAGAGCTTCTATGCTATAGTCTTGAGATAGAATTCCCAGTCCTCCTCTTTTTTTTTTTTTTTTTTTTGGAAACCTCAATCCTTGCTTTTAAGGCCTTCAACTGATTTGATGGGGTCCAATGGTATTATGGAGAGTAATCTGCTCTATTTGTTTACTGATTATAAATGTTAAGCAGATCTAAAAAATACCTTCATAGCCACAATGAGACTAGTTAGTTTGATCAACTGTGTACCACATCTTAGCCAACTTAACATATAAAATTAATAATCAGAGTGATAAGCAAATAATCTGATAAACAAAAAGAAAACTTTCCAGTAAAAAATACCTCACTCTGGAGTCTTTGTGTTCTTTATACATATTGTTTGGTTAAAAATAAATTTTACTATACATGCAAAAAAGCACAATTAGGGGATTAATATACAAGAATAAAAGTAGAGATAGAGAGAAACCATATTTGAATAACAGATTTAGCAAACAAGGCTGAAAAATAGCTATATTTAATGTATTTAAGAATATAAAACAGGTGGAAAAATAGATAATAATTGAGATAAAATGAATCAAAAGAGCATTCTGAAACTGAAAATACAATATCTGACATTCATAAATCAACAGAGAGGTTTTACAGCAAATTGGATACAGAAAAATGTAAGTTTAATCTTTCAGAGGCCAAAACAAAAATTCCCAGGTGAAGTCGTATATATAGAATATACACAAACTGAAAGATGCAGAAAACAAAAATATGAAAACGAAAATTACATAAGGTCACTGAATGCTCGTGAAGCACAATCAAAAGCTGCAAGACATGAAATCAGATTTCTAGAAGGAGAAAGAGTAAGAACGAAGTAGAAGTTGTATTCCAAGAGGAAATAGGTAAGAAATTTTTAAAAACTGGTGAAAGATTACAGCCTACACATTCAATAAAATGGAAGAACTCCCAAAAGGATAAATGAGAAGAAAATCACACCTAACCCAGTTATACTCAAAATTTTAAATACTCAGGACATAGAGAAAACTATGAAAGTACCTAGGAGAAAGACACATTAATGTCAAAGCAGCAAAAGTGGGTAATAGTTCGTGTTTCAGTAAAAATAACAGAAGCCAATACACAATGGAATGACTTTTTTTTTTTTTTTTTGAGACAAAGTCTGGATCTTGTCTCCCAGGCTGAAGTGCAATGGCACAATCTTGGCTCACTGCAACCTCCGCCTCCTGGGTTCAAGCGATTCTCCTGCCTCAGCCTCCCGAGTAGCTGGGATTATAGGCGCCTGCCACAATGCCCTGCTAATTTTTGTGTTTTTAGTAGAGACGAGGTTTCACCATGTTGGCCAGGCTGGTCTCAAACTCCTGACCTCAGGTGAGCTGCTCGCCTCAGCCTCCCAAAGTGCTGAGATTACAGGCGTGAGCCACTGCACCCAACCTGGAATGACATCTTAAAGCATTGATTAAAAAAATAACTAGCAGTATAACATTCTATATTGTATCAAAATAGGTTTCAAAGAAAGGTGAAATAAGTATATTTTTGGACAAAAACCAGGGAATTTATCCCAACAGGCATTCAGTAAAAGAAATATTAAACTGGTATTTTCAGGCCTAAGGAAAATGATCCCAGATAAAATCACTGAAGAGAATGAAGAATACCAGAACAGCAAATATGTGGTAAATATAAATAATTGCTGAATATACAAAACAATAATAGTCATGTCTTTGGATATAGAAATAAAGTACATGAAAATAATACATAGAAGAAAAGGGGGCAAATGTTTAAAGTATTCTAAATTTCAACCAGTGTGTGAAAATACATTGAATTGTAC